>NC_000002.12:56553988-56857018 GCF_000001405.40 Homo sapiens | reverse complement strand
CTTACTGACAATGTGATTCTATACTGAGAAAATCCCATAGTCCTTGCTCAAAGATGCCTAGATCTGATGAACAACTTCAACAAAGTTTCAGGATAAAAAATCAATATACAGAAACCAATAGCATTTCTGTACAGCAATAACATCCAAGGTGAGAGTCAAATCAAGAGCACAATCCCATTCACAATAGACATAACAAGAATAAAATACCTACAAATATGCTAGTCAGGAAGGTGAAAGACATCTATAGTGAGAATTACAAAACACTGCTCAAAAAAATCAGAGATGGCATTAAATAACGGAAAAACATTCCATGCTCATGCATAGGAAGAATCAATATTGTTAAAATGGCTATACTGTCAAAAGTAAATTACAGATTCAATACTATTCCTATAAAACTACCAATGACATTTGTCAGAGAATTAGAAAAAAACTTCTAAAATTCAAAAGGAACCCAAAAAGTGCCTGAATAGCGAAAGAAATCCTAAGCAGAAAGAGCAAAACTAGAGACATCACACCATCTGACTTCAAGCTACACTGCAAGGATACGGTAAACAAAACAACATGGTACTGGTATAAAAATAGACATATAGACCAATGAAATAGGTTAGAGAATCAGAAATAAA
Organism: Homo sapiens; assembly: GCF_000001405.40. Lineage (NCBI taxonomy): Eukaryota > Metazoa > Chordata > Mammalia > Primates > Hominidae > Homo > Homo sapiens. Next base: position 56,856,395 of record NC_000002.12, on the reverse strand, counting down.
GCCACATACCTATAACCATTTGAAGTTTGACAGGGTCAACAATAACAAACAATGGAGAAAGGACTCCCTATTCAATGAATGGTGCTGGGATACCTAGCTAGCCATATACTGAAAATTGAAACTGGACTCTTTCCTTACATCATACACAAAAATCAACTCAAGATAAATTAAAGACTTAAATGTAAAAGCTAAAACTATAAAAACCCCAGAATAAAAGCTAGAAAATACCATTCTGAACACAGGCCCTAGCAAAGATTTTATGATGAAGACTCCAAAAGCAACAAAAACAAAAATTTACAACTGGGAACTAATTAAACTAAAGAGCTTTCCACACAGCAAAAGAAACTATCAACAGAGTAAACAGGCAATCTACAGAATTACAACAAATATTTACAAACTATACATTCATCAAATGTATATCAAAAATCTATAAGGAGCTTAAAGAAATCAACAAACACAAAAACGAATATCCCCATTTAAAAAATGGGCAAAGGACATGAACAGACACTTATCAAAAGAAGCATACAAGTTGCCAATAAACAAGAAAAAATGCTCAACCTCCCAAATCATTAGAGAAATGCAAATCAAAACCACCACAAGGTATCATCTCACAGCAATAAGAGTAGCTACTATTAAAATATCAAAAAATAACAAATGCTTGCAAGATTGCAGAGAAAAGGGAATGCTCATACCCTGCTTGTGGGAGTGTAAATTAGTTCAGCCATGGTGGAAGTAGTTTGATTTCTCTAAGAACTTGAAACAAAGATACCATTTGACTCAGCAATGCCATTATTGGGTATATATCCAAAGTAATACACATCATTCCACCATAAAGACACATGCACTGATATGTTCATTGCAGCACTATTCACAATAGCAAAGACATGCAGTCAACCTAGGTGCACAACAGTGGTGGAGTAGATAAAGCAAATATGGTATATATATACCAAGCAATACTATACAGCCATAAAAGAGATCAAAATCATTTCCTTTGCAGGAACATGGATGGAACTGGAGGCCATTACGCTAAGCAAATTGACGCAGAAACAGAAAACCAAATACCCCTTATTCTCACTTATAAATGGCAGTTAAACTTTGAATTCACATGCACAAAAAGAGGGAAAGAATAGACACCAGGGTCTACTTGAAGATAGACGGCCTAAGGAGGGTTAGGATCCAAAAAATACCTATCAGGTACTATGCTTACTACCTGGTTGACTAAATAATTTGTACAATGTACTCCATGAGTATCCAATTTACTCATGAAACAAACCTGCACATGTACCCCTGAACCTAAACTAAAAGCTGGAAAGCACAAAACTAAAAAATAAAAAATATTTTTCTTTCTTCAATAATAAATTAACCTTAGCTTACTGTAACTGTTTTTCTTTATAAACTTTTTAATTTTTTTAACTTTTTGACTCTTTTTAAACAATACTTAGCTTAAAATACACATTGTACAGATAAACAAAAATACTCTCTATATTCTTATTCTATCATTTTTTTTCTATTTTAATATTTTTAAATTATTTTTTTACTTTCTAAACTTTTTTGTTAAAAGCTAAGACAGAAACATTTATATTAGCCTAGGCCAACACAGGTTAAGAATAACTAATATCACTGTCTTTCACGTATTCATCTTGTTCCACTAGAAGATCCTCAGGGACGATAACACACATGTAACTGTGATCTCCTATGATAACAATGCCATCTTCTGGAATACGTCCTGAAGGAACTAACTGCCTGAGGCAGTTAACTTTTTTTTTTTTGTAAGTACAGGAGTACACTCTAAAGTTACAATAAAAAGTATAGTATAGTATAGTATAGACCAGTAACATAGTCATTTATCATTATCAAGTATCATGTACATTACATAATTTTATGTACTACACTTTTATAAGAGTGACAGCACAGTAGGTCTGTTTATACTGGCGTCACCACAATGCATTGCACTAGAACATTAGGGGCTACAGAGTCACCAGGCAGTAGGAATTTTTCAGCTCCATTATAATCTTATGGGGCCACTGTCGTATATGCGGGATCTGTCATTGACTAAAATATTATTGTGCAGCACATTACTATATATCAATAATCAGGTAAAATCAAAATGATCTAAACACCCCAATTAAAATAGATTGTCTGAGTACTGAAGCACAATTCAATTATATACTTACTATGAGAAATCCACTCTCATTACAAAGACACAAATAGCTTAAAGTAAAAATTCTGGAAAAGGATATACAAAGATAGTGCTAATTCAAAGAAAATTGAAGTGACTATACTAATATTGCACAAAGTAGATTTCAGAATACAGAACATTATTGTAGTAGAAAATAGGTATTGTGATAGACATAAAGTACCAAACTCACTCAAAATGAAAAAGATCAATTTTGTGACCCTATATTCTATGATAAAAGTAAAATTTTAGTTAAAAGCCTCCCTGCAAAGAAAACTCAGGCCAGGATGGCCTTATTGGGAAATTCTACTCTATATTTATGGAAAGGATACCAATTATATGAAAGGTCTTTCAGAAAATTGAGGATAGAATATTTGTCGTTAAAAACCTATCCACAGATGTTCAAAGTAACCTTATTTTAAATAGCCCCAAACAGGAAACAACTCAAACGTTCATGGGAAAACAAACTGTGTTATATTTGTGCAATGGAATATTATTCAGCAGTTTAAATAAATACACTACCCTAATCGTTGCAATAAGTTAACCTCAAAATAATGCTGTATGAAAGAAGTCAGACAAAAAGATTACATCTATATGATTTTGTTTATATAAAATTTTAGGAAATATAAACTAATCTCAATGGTGCCTGGGGAAGGGAGAGGGAGCAACCAGGAAGATTTGAAAGAGGTGGATTAAAATGGGGGCATGAAGAACTTTTGGGGTGATTGTTATGTTCATTATATTGATGGTGGTGATAATATTAACATACATACCTAGATGGCTAGATAGATGCAAACACATATGTGTCAAAACTTATTAAGTGTGTACTTTATTGTATATCAATTATACCATTAAAAGGCTGTAAAATAATTTAAAATAAATAAATAAATTCCTTGCTCTCCAGGACAATTTCAACTCCTAGAGATAAGTCAAAATATATATTATACCATATTATATATTATATATACTTCTATATAACTTACACAGGTATCATTATATAAGTATATATTGATATACATATATATAAATATATATTATACATTATAGGATATGCAAAGTTTTTAAATAACAGAAATATATCCAAAAAGAAAAGTATTCAAGCAATTACTTGAAAAATTATCATCTGAATAACTATCTGAAAATTATCTGAACAATATGCAGTATATAGCTGATTATCTGAAAATATTATAAGTCAACTTCTAAATGATATCTGATTTTTGGATGCTGCACAGAGAACCCAGACTCTTTCCACATCATTCACTAATGACATCTTAATTTCAAAGATTCTTTCTTCTGAGTACGATTAGGTCCTAGAATCATGGAAGAAAATAAGTTCGTTGGTCTCCAATAACAAATTACCTCCCGCAGCTTTCAAACTGCTCCACTCAGCAACATAACTTCTCCACTAAGCACAGATGCTTTCTCTGAAAAGGGGTTGTCACTGTGCTCTCTGCTAGAAAGGCCAATGTCATGGATACTATTTGCACAGGCTGAGGTGGCTTCCTGAACACCATTGCTGAATGCTGCACTCCTGTGTGCATTTTCATATGTGACACTTTCAATACCCCAAGTTTTTCTTCATTTTGCATACGAAGATTCGAGGAGAAATAATAATTTGCATGAGTTTTTGAAAAAAATTACTATAGTACTAGCCACAGTAGAGGCAAACTTCTCTCAAATTTCAATACTTAAGTAAAATGTATAGCTTCTCAATTTACTCAGCCACAATATGATTTCACCTGATTTATATAAACCAAAGAGATTTAAGATGGAAGGAAGAACAAATGTAGAGTGAAGACAGTAGATGTGAATTGCCAAAGGGCTATAGAATCAAAAGCATAAGGCTGTGGCTAAAGACATGAGAAAGAATGAGTTCTTCCAAAAATAAGAAGAAGGCCAAGGGTTTTACATGATTCTCGCGAGTAAGGATGGGAGAAATAAAAGTAATCAAAAAGGAAGTTAAAGAGTTCCTTGCAAAGTAATGAAGCAAGCATAGAAGCAGAGGATGTGGGAAAACATTTCAAGAAGAAAAGAACTTATAAAACAAAAATAGGATTAGCAAAGTATAAAAATAAAGTGCAGAGGATTTTGAAATCAGATTGTCATTGGAGGCTTTCAAGATAAAAAATACAATGTAGGGGAGGGGAGGGGAGGAGAGGAAGGGAAGAGACAAGGGAGAAGGGGAGAGAAAGGGGAAGAGATGAGGAGGCCAGGCATGATGGCTCACGTCTGTAATCCCAATACTTTGGGAGGCTGAGGCAGGCTGATTGCCTGAGCTCAAGACTTCGAAACCACCCTGGGCAACATGGTGAAGCCCTGTCTCTTCTAAAATACAAAAAAATTAGCTGAGCATGGTGGCACACACCTGTAATCCCAGCTACTCAGGAGACTGAGGCAGGAGAATCGCTTGAGCCCAGGAGGCAGAGGTTGCAGCTAGCCAAGATCCTGCCACTGCACTCCAACTTCAACTTGAGAGACAGAGTGAGACTCCAAGGCGTGGGAGGAGGGAAGGAGGAAGAAAGGAAGGAAGGAAGGGAGAGAGAGAGAAAGGAAAGGAAGAAACATCTTATAGAAGAGATTTCACAGGGCATGAGTGAATGAGCAAATTGTCTTGCTGTAAATCATTCTTCCTGATATTTGAAAGTGAAAAAGAAACAAAGAAGAACAGCAAAGCAGAGGAAGTAGGTTTTAATTTTTCCAAGTTCATTTTTTTTTTTACCCATATGTGAGAGAACAATGCATGCTTTTGTCACACAAGGAAGGCAGGATGAAGAGAAAATTCTTGATGATACAGAAAGAAAAAGAGTCAATAAACTGTAATGAGACCCTTTGGGACCTGGAATAGGATAGAATAGTCATGTTTAGTAAGAACCCATTTATTTTCCTGGTCTTGATACTACTGCCACCGCTGTCATCACTAATGCTGATTCTAGTGTTGATAAAGTTGGTCCCTTTTTGACTCAGCAGATCCAAGGTTTGTGGGGTTTGAACATTAACCTGAGGGAAGGGCTCTATAAGAAAAATTACAAAATTAATTATATAAGTGAATATTTATTTAGAATATGTAAAAGAATTACAATAAATCACCAGTTTTTAAAAGCTGAAGAATACCATAAACATCAAAGTTCAGGAAATATATTATTATTCACAAACTGGGTGATATACTCTTTTATTTTTGTGACTTCATACATACTGCCTCTTCATGTCACAAAGATTTTCTTATATTATCTTCTAAAAAACAAACAGGAAATGAGAAATCAGCATCATCAACCAAAACTATTTTGATTATTGTCAATTATTTGAAACTTTTTCATAATTTTTACTACGAGCAATTGACAATGTTGTACCTGGAATATCCTCCGGTTTCTTGCTCCTGGAAAACCATCCAACCTCAGTCCCTCTTTCACTCTCAGTGTGGCCCTTTATGGCTGGCTTGTGGCAGCAGCATTTGGTCCAGCTGGGCCAGTTCCTTGCTTTATGCCCACTTCTATACCCTAAACCACAAGTCAGCCCTCGGAGGATCAGATAGTCATGAAGCCCAGGGCATAGTCATGGACAGGATATGAAGCAGCAGCATCTCTTTGGGCTCTAATTTTATTAGGTCAGTGACAGGGTCAAGTAGGCAAGTGGACAATGAATTTGGGAGCTGGAGGCACTGCTGGCAACCCCAGGACCACCACCATCCAAGCCATGGAGGGTAACCTCTAGGCAGAGGCATTGACTCTGTTGGAGTTGTGGCTTCCTCCCCAACATTTAACTTGGAGAAGAACTTTCTGAGTTTCATAAAAGGCCTCTACAAGGAAGGCATGACCTAGCTTAAGCTATATTAGGTAAAAACTGTCTCTGGTTGAAATACCTATTCACTATAAGTGCATTGAGATAATGCCAGTTCATAATATTCACTACATATTTATAGAATTAATACATTTAATAGATGGTAATGCCATTAACCAAGAATAGCACACAAGGAAGATGCCTTGAGGAAAAATTATGAATTTAGTTTGAACCCACTGAATTTCCATTTCCTGTGAGAAACCAGGTTACTATATCTGCCACATACCTGGAAATGTGGCTCTAGAGATGTATCTAAGATATAATTCGTAGAATACACTAGCACGGACATACTAATTAAAGCTATGTGGATGAGGTCTTCAGGGAAGTGCAAAAAAGGGCCAGGCACAAAGACCAGAGACATAAGGAAGAAAAGTCAATGTTACAGACCAACTGGTTTAGAAGCATATGCCTTCACAAGTGTTGAGAGAATAATTTTAAAAAAAAGATTTAATAAATTTGATGCACAAAAGGATAAGGAAATGGGATTAAAAGTGCAGTCAATCTGATATTTTGTCAATAAAATCTAATCAAACTGATAATACTTAGTTCTATCATATGTAAGTCATGTGACTAACTCATTTCTCAGTTACCCTTAATGAGTTATTGTTCATAATTGGAAGAAAAAGATTAGGTTTTCTTCTGTAGTTCAAATGCATTCCGGTTTGGGTGGCCTGGCCATAATGTGCACTGAGTAATGAGGCTAGGATAAATGTTATCTTACTTGCTATCTGTCAGGGGATTAATAAGAAAATAAATAAGTATATTTAAAATTGCTATTTGAAGGACTATAAAATTGAATGTAATATTACCAAATGTTAATTACCACTTCTGAAGATGTGTGTTTGTGTTAGAAATAGTATATTTTTCAGTGCAACCTCCTTGTTCTATATGCCCATTTCATATTTGCTTTCCACTCCTCTCATATTCCTCCATTTCCCACAAAACAGAATGTTTTATCTGCTAAAATATTTTCGATGGTGCAGTCTTCTATAAACACACACATGCACATACACACAAACATAAGCATATATTATATCTATTTTATATATCTCATTCTGAAAAACACATTATTGTGACAGCATTTCCTAAAGAAATAGAAAAAAAATGCTTCTTCATTTAAGGAAAATAAGATTCGCAGTACATAAGGGAAGTAGAGATTATATTTTCTACATATCAGCCCTTCTGTTTTGATGGTAAGACATTTTATTACCTCGTATCTTCCAATAAGATTCCCTGTGACATTAGTTAAGGATACTGCCACAGAACGTGATTCAAAGTTATAAGTTAAACAACTTGATCTTACTTAAGACAGAACGAGATTCATAAAAGAACTTTACTAGGCCTTTAGTAAATTTTCCCTAATTTCAAAATAAAGATAGATTCAAAATGCCAAGAATCCATTGTCTGAAGATATATCTCCTCATTTAGATGGGAAATAGTGACCAGTGAAGCATTTGGAATTTCATTTCATGAAGACATTGGTAATGAATGGGAATGATATTTTACTTCCATAATATTCTACTTAGGTCTCAGAGCATAAATTTAAAATGCCATAACAGTTGTTCTATTATCATTTAATTAATTTTGAAAAATATTTCAGGTTTTCAAATGTCCCCATAGCATATATAAAAAAATTCAAAATAGTCCTTGATTTGGCCAGTAAAAGTCCTCTGTCACCAAGGCTGATATTGAAGCTTATGAAAGTAATTTTAAGCTAACCAGTTCAACTCAAATAAGAAAAACAAAAATGACAGTTCTCAACACCAGGTAAGAAAAACTGATATAGTTTTAGAAAGGTTGGCTATTTTTTTATTTTCATATGGGTGTTTTAGTGTTTTGTAGACAAATGAATTTATAACAAGGGTATCCATAATTTTTTAAGTTGTTATCTAATTTATTTCAATGCAGAGTACTTTAGCATCAAGCAGTAATAACTTCCTCATGATATCCCTAGCACCTGGAGCCATATTTCACTCCCTTATACAGGATTCAACATCATTTGCCCAAAATTATTGACAGTGTCTCCTCATCCAAGCCAGCTTTAGAGAACCACATCAGAGCACATGATAAAACTTTTTTTCTGAAACTCCCATCATGTTAACATTATTGATATCTGACAAGTTTTTCTGGAACATGGTTCATTATGTAGCACCTCCATAACCCTCAGTCCCCAGTTACCTCTTCATTTATACTCTTTAAAAAATTTTTTCAAATTTTATTTTAAGTTCAGGGGTACATGTGCAGGATGTGCAGCTTTGTTATATAGGTAAACATGTGCCATGATGATTTGCTGCACAGATCATCCCATCACCTAGGTATTAAGCCCAGCATCCATTAGCTATTCTTCCTGATGCCGTCTCTCCTCCCACCAGCCACCCTCCAACAGGAAGGCTTTATGCTACCTGACTTCAAACTATACTACAACGCTTCAGTAACCAAAACAGCATGGTGTTAGTACAAGAACTCATAGACCAACAGAACAGAATAGAGAAGCCAGAAATAAGACTGCACACCTACAACCATCTGATCTACAAGAAACCTGACAAAAACAAACAGTGGAAAAAGGATTCCCTATTTAATAAATGGTGCTTGAAAAACTGGCTAACCCTATACAGAAAAATTAAAACTAGACCCCTTTATTACGCCATACACAAAAATCAACTCAAGATGGATTAAAGACTTAAAAATGTAAAACTGAAAACTATAAAAACCCTAGAAGAAAACCTAGACAATGTCATTCAGGACATAGGCATGGGCAAAGATTTCATGACGAAGACTCCAAAAGCAATTGTGACAAAAGCAAAGCAAAACTTGACAAGTGGGATTTAATTAAGCTAAAAACCTGCTGCACAGTGAAAGAAAATATCATCAGAAGAAACAATGTACAGAATAGCAGATAATTTTTGCAAACTATCCTTCTGACAAAGGTCTAATATCCAGCATCTATAAGGAACTTAAATTTTTATATATATATTATATATATATATTATATATATACACACACACACACACACATTGAAAAGTAGGCAAAGGACATGAAGAGACACTTCCTTTATACTTTGAACTGCATGCTGACTGGTACTTCCGCTCAGTTGATTCATTCTCTACTGCTTATCACAACGTACTCTGCGGTCCCCATTCCATCTTAACCTCTCCTACCTGCTCAAAGGTTTACGTAAATTCCCCACACCCTCTTGCTCCTCCATGTTTCCTTCATTTATATGTCTCTTGTACACAAAAGCTGATAAAAGAGACTCAGATCTTCGCATGCTTCTTTTGTCATTTTAAGAACTTTTCACTCCATTGTTATGTACTATTGACTCCTCCTTTTAGGCCCACAGCATCTGTCTCAACTATTCTATATGCCTTTTTGTCAGCATTCTCTACAGGCCCCCTGTTATTTACCCACATTTAGCCAAGTTTTAATTATCCATATCAGTGACTCCCTACCACCACAAATGCCATTGTCACCTGAGAATTTCAGCATGACTCATACTGTGACTGGACTGCTTGATTCCAGTGACTGTCATCCACTGCACATTTCAGAAACCAAGTCCAAACTTTAGAGCCTTCATCCTGTAAACTGTAATCATCTGTATCCACGATTTGAAACTCTCTTATTTCAAATTTAAAATTCAAAAACTCTCTTCTCTTCTTGCCTCATGTGAAACAAGTTTCCCTGTTTTAATCCCTATTAGAAATAAATTTTTGGTGCCGTGGAAGAAATAGCACTCAAACATAAATTTTCTCAGCAAGGCAATTTTACTTCTATAGAAGGGTGTGTCTTGTGGTTGGAGCAAAGGCAAGAGCACACCAGAACAAGCGAAGGGAAGGGGTTCTTATCCCTGTTGCAGGTAGCCCCTACTGCTGTGGCGTTCCCCTATTGGCTAGGGTTGGAGCACACAGTCTAAGCTTATTCCAATTTGGCTGTTTTAAAGAGAGCAGGGGTACGAGCCAGAGTGGCAGGGTGAGCAGTTTTGGGGGCAAAGAAAATTATTGAACAAGTGACTAAAGGTGACTCAGGTCAGAGCAGGTGACCAGGGGTGACTCAGGATGGAGCAGGTGACCAGGGGAACAGATGTGAACTACTGATTAGAACTAGTGGGAAGGTTGTTTACTGAAACTAGGAGCAAGGGGATGAAGAGAATGAGGAAGTTAAACTTTAAAATGGAGAACAAAGAACTGAACATACTGACATACTGATTCTTTGAAGAGAAACTTAGAACTCACTGTATTTAACATCCCGGACAGACTTCTCAGCTGCAGGATTATTTTTCTCTCTCATCCTAAAACATCCCAGGTTCAGGAGGTATTATGGGTATTCTCTTTGATCCCTGTTGCTTATTCCAATGCTTTCTCCACTTGTCTTCTGGAAAATGTCCTTCTCTTTTGATATTCAAATAATTTAGCTATATTAACTACCCCTCTTTTTATTACCATTGTACTCATAGGTGAACTCTTCTTTTTGAAGACTTGGCTTCTGGTTTATAGATTTCCATTTATTTTCTATTTTTTTAATATTTCTTGTGGACTTAGCATCTAAAATGGATTTTTCCAACACTGAGCCATAATAAAAATTCTATAAATATTAGTTGAATTAGGGAAGGAAGTAATCACACTTATTTCTCAGTATCTGTCCACCCTATTTTGTCTTCCTTCAGATCTAACTTAAATTTCTTGGTCTGCTTTGAAACTGGCAGTCTTTCTTGCAAATATCCTCAACTTGCAAAAATCCTTAATGTTTTGGCTTTTCTCTCCTTTCATCACACTAGCCTAGCTAGACACAGAGCCCAGTTGATCCCAACCATTTTTTCTTATCTGTGCAGGAATTTGAGCATATGAACATTGATCCTGAAAATAATATAGCTATGAACTTATTTTAGAAAGTTATTACAATATTAATATTACAATAATAATTACAGTATTAATTACAATATTGATTACACTATTAATATATTAACACTATACATAGTGGTTAATGGTTTATAATTCTCTGTAAATACTAGGGTTTTCAGGATTTAATTTTGGAATCCCTTTTCTTCTCTACCCTACACTTTTCCACCAGAGAGCCTCATCAAATTTCATGACTTTAAATAACATGTATATCTTTAGGCTCTCAAATTTAGATCAAGTAATTATTCACCTTTGTTCTTAACACTTCTGCTAGGTTTAGGTTTGTAGTTTTGTGTTTATTGATTCACTTTTAAAGTTCTTAATTACTAAAATTAAGATATGTTGTAATTTTGGCACATCACTTTATTCCAAAAATTTAATATATTGCTTCATCATGAACCAGGAAAAAATTGGTAATTATTCACTACATAGAAAGTTTAAGTTTACTTGTAAACAACTGAACAAGGTTTCCACTATACTGCTTTTTATTACTTCCTCTACCATAGTAATTTCTACATTTCTATGTTCTAGATATTTTTTCTTGTTTCCTTGACCAGGATACGTATATATGGTCAAAATTATTATCTTCAAAAAATTCAGCTCATAGATTTATCTGTGAACTCTACTTTATTTTAATTTGTTAATATATGTTTAATGTGTAAATCATAATTCCCAGCTAACCTCAGAGATGTTTATGCTTTATATTTCATAACATCTTCACTTAAACACTTTGAGTTATTTTATTATTTATGAATAAGATTGTAAAAGTATTAAATTGCCTTGTAGTATGGATTTAGTGAAATCTTTTAAACTTTAAATTATAAAAGTTTTAGTAAAATCATTAAGATTTTAGAGCTTGCGCCTCCTTTGGAAAGCCATTCTAATCACATTTAAAATCATTTCAAAATAAATAAAATACTGTGATTAAATACAAATAAGAATGGTAAATATGAACTGAAATGGCCATTTTCATATTACAAGTAGTTTTAGTTAAATGTCCTTCATATAAAAACAATATGAACACTGAGGATACTTTTGTGGCTTAAGTTTTCCTCCTAGTTGCATATTAAATGGGGTCACTTTTGGCTTATTCCAATGCGTTCTCTTGTAAATCCACTTTGGCTTCAAAGTGAAACCTCCATAAAAGAAGAGCGGCACTGTTTTTTTGTTGTTTTTTTTTTTTAATGTTAACATAAAAGGAGTATTATGGGGCATAATGGCCAAAAAACAAAACAAACAAAAAAAACCTTGTCTATTTATTGGGAAAATATATGAGTGCATTTTATGATTATGAAATAATATAGTTTGCAAGTTGTGTTTGGCAACTGAGTTACATTTGAATTCCAAATGCCTCTTGAGCATCTTCTTGCAAATAAATACCATCTAAAAATATTTCTTCCAAGCTTCTAACAATATTTTTCAAATATGAGATCAAGAAACTAAATTGTAACTTTATATTCTGCAAAAGAACATGGTATTTAATTTTTCCTGTGAAATAAATTGGGAAGAAATAATGTATTTTTCAGAGCTTCATAAAGTAAAAATTATATAACTTATTTTTAGCACCAATTCCCATTATCTATAGCTAGATTTTTGCTCAAACTGTTGAAAACATGAGAAGTCATACTGAAATTTGTCTTTTGAAACTTCAGGTTTATTTTACTTAGATGTTCAATTTTATCTGCCTCATATGTCATGAATCTGCATAAAGTTAAGATTCTTTAATTTTTTTTAGCATTTTTCATTTCTATTTCTAAAGATCAACAGCCTACTTTAGCATATAAATTTGGCCAAGCGTTTTTTTTTTCTCAGTGAAATCATCAAATTTCAGCAAAAACAAAGTCCAATGTCTTGTGTAATGAAACACTTTTCTCTATAACTAACTACTTGGACAATGAAGTTGAAGGTGAATTAAATTCCTTAATACTTGCCTGAGAAAGTTGCTTGTAATTGTGACCAAAAGCCTATATCAGTGGAATAGTATCAGCATATACTTCAATAATTTGCTTTATTATTTTATTTCAGATTATTACCTTTGAATAATGTTTATATTGGTTCAATGATATCATCTTCTTTGGTGGTAATTTCCAAAATGTATCAACAAAAGAAGCACAAATATATTGAAATTAATAGTAAAAGTGAAGTTATAATTATTCTCTTTTAGAAAGTTGGATTCTCAATCTACTATATACAATAATCAATTCAACTTTTACTGAAGTCAAAAATTTGTATTAAATCTTAGCTGAGTACTAGGACCTACCTTCTGTTGCAAACAAAAATAATAAGGTTAGAATATGCACAGCCAATTTCAAAATTAAGAAAAGCAAACAGGCAGGAGACAAATACGAAGAGATTTGATCTAATGGTCTTTTATACAATATTGTAACCAACAAATGTAGACCATTTGTTCTTTCCAAGCACATCTGAATACTCATCAAAATTAGTCATAAAGTAGTCTAAGAAATAAAGTTTCAGCAATTTCAAAATAGTTACAAAGTTTTGTTTGTTGTTATGTAAATATGTTAAAGTTTAATAATAAAAATATAACGTAAAAACTCTATACAATTAAAAATTAAAAAGAAAAACCTTTTTCAAAACTTGTGGAATAAGAGCATTATGATGGAAAACCAATTTAAAATATTGCTTCTCCTAAGGAAAACTAAGTAGCTAGATTAATTTTTAAAAGATGTAGCAAATATTGAATAAAGTTGATTTACTCAAAAACATTTAAGATCTACCAAAATAGTCCAACAAGCTCCAGGAATGGACAAGAGCTCAGTAGGGTAAGCCCACAGACAGATCTTTCAAACTTGAGAGCATATGCTAACTTTAAGGAAGCAGCTGAGAAGCTTAATATTAATAGTTCTTTACATGACTTTTCAGGACTGACAAAACCTTGGTTAAGAACTCTGGAAGGGCCACCATCAGTCCTCTGCTGTGATCCTATGGAGTTACACTACAGGGGTTGAGTAGAAGTAGAAGTCCTTCTGTGTCTCAGAAAACCCTGAGGTTTAAGCAATTGGTAATATGATCCTAGAATATCGGCGTTTCTAAGTATTTGGAAAGGGTAGAAGAAAATCATTTTTGGAGGAAGATAACATCATCCTAGTCCTCAAAATATTTTAACAAACAATATTTTAAAAATTTAATAAACAGTGCAACATCAAATAAAAAGACATGAGAAGAAAACAAACTATGATTCAGAAGTAGCAAAAACAATAGACAACAAAAAATATACACAGCCCTTCAAATAATGAAATTGTCAAAACATTATGTAATATAACTACATTATCTAAGCTCATGGAGACAAAAGCTAATTTGAAAATGTTGGTGCCAAACTAGAAGTTATTAAATATGACACAGGATTCTTGAAAAATCTTGGAGAAATTGTAGATTAAAAATTATAATAATCACAACTTAAAATGTTATAGAGAAGTTCTGGTCCTGACAACATAGAGTGGCCCCATTTCTCCCAGGTCCTACCTGTCTTTGGGAAAACAACAAACAAGCACAGGGAGTCTCTTAAATGTAGAACAAAGATGAGATGGCTAGGAGCCTTGGAACTTGAGGAACATCAGAGAGATGAGTTCCCTGGATTTCCTTGTTGTTCCCCATATATCCTGGACAGGGAAATACATAGGCCTCTGACCCAGAATGACAAACAGGCACAGACAAATAAAATTCCATGAAAAGGCTGTCCTCTGTAGTTAAAAAACGAGAAAACAGTGTCTAACAAAAGTGTTTTTTGTTTTTTAGCAATACCAGCTTTATTCCAGTGAAAAACCAATGAACAAACTGCGTGTGCACGCACACACACACATACACAAACACACACACATACACACGTATACACTCTGCCATGATTTCACTAGGGCCAAGCATGGAGTGACTTGCTAAGTGATGTATGCCAAGCATGGAGCCACCTGCTAGGTGATGTCTGGCAGGTCTAAGCACAGAGCTAATTATCACAAAACAATAAAGTATTCCAGATAACCCTATGGTGATAGCAGTATGTCGATGGGACACAGGAAACAACTAATAAGAGTTCCAAATGCGCAACCAAAAATGCAATTGAGCAACAAAGCAGTACCCTAGACAGGATTCTGGAACAGAAAATGGAAATTAAATGAAAACTAATAAAATTTCAGTAAGGTATGGAATTAGTTAATAACACTGTAGCAATATTAGTCTATTTTTTAAAATGGACCACACCAATGTTTGATATTAATATGGAAAAATGGGTGTGTGATATATGGAATCTCTCTGTGCTATTTTCATATTTTTCTTGTAAATATAAATCCACTCTAAAACACAAGCTTTATTTTTTAAAAAAGAACCAAACTGAATTTATAGAACCTAAAAAAATAATAACCAAAGTAAAATGCAATAACCAAATCTGGTTTGGTACAGTAATAGAGTGGAGATGAGAGGATAGAATCAGTAAATTTGAAGAGAAATTTACATACAATGTACTCAACTTTAAAAATACAGAAATAATAAATTTGGGGAAAAATGAGAATTTCATAGATAAATTAGCCTGTTAAATACACTTGAAATGAAAGTGGTAAACTGAGAAATAGATCAGAAAAAGCTATACACAATGAACCACAGAGCAACTGAATTTGAAAATTAGAAAAGAGAGAAATGGAGACAGAGAAGATGAAGTGAGAATATCTAACATTTATTTAACTGAAGATAAGGAGAAAAGAAGTGAAGCAGAGTCATTACTTAAAGAGATAATGTCTAAGGAAATTTAAAAACAAATAAAGTATACCAATTCACATATTCAACATCCAAGTAAGTTTAATTAAAAAAAGAATCCACTCCTACAAACATTATAAGAAATCTAAAAGAAAAAAAGAAAAATCAATCAAAAGAGTGAAAGAGAATGATGATTTCTAATCATCATTCTCAGTAAACTATCGCAAGGACAAAAAACCAAACACCGCATGTTCTCAATCATAGGTGGGAATTGAACAATGAGAACACATGGACACAGGAAGGGAAACATCACACTCTGGGGACTGCTGTGGGGTGGGGGGAGGGGGGAGGGCTAGCATTAGGAGATATACTTAATGCTAAATGATGAGTTAATGGGTGCAGCACACCAGCATGGCACATGTATACATATGTAACTAACCTGCACATTGTGCACATGTACCCTAAAACTTAAAGTATAATAATAATAAAATAAAATAAAATAAAATAAAAAATAATTTAAAAAAAGAGTGAAAGATTGATTGACAGCAGATTTCTTAACTGCAGTAATGGAAGGTAGTAGATAGTGGAATGGCCTCTAAAGTGGTTTGAAAAAAGTACCTGTCAAAGAATAATTTTATAATTCTCAAAAATATTTTTAACAAATGAAAGTTAATAAAGCCACAAAAGCTAGGAGAAATTTTGATCAGCAGACTTGCACTAAAGGAAATTCTAAAATACATACTTTAGGCTGCAGGGAATATGATATCAAATAGAAGTTCCACAAAACAAAGTGGAGAAAGAATAACTTAATTTAAAAGATGTAGATAAATATAAATCAAGATTTATTGTATAAAACAATGTTCGGGAGTACATATGCATATCTGCAGATACATTTACATGTATGAATGCAAAAAAAACAAAGCATATAAGTAAGCAAGAGTTAAAAAATAATTAAATTATCTAAGATCCTTGCATTTTCCATGAGGAGGGTTAGGGTAACTATAATCAAATGATATTAGATTTGGAAACAAATGATGTACGTTGCAAAATTCCCCTAATGTGAACACTAGATGAAAAGAAAAAGAGTCTATGACTTCTAAACTAGTAAAATGGAGAAGAGAGATCAAAGTTGAGCTGATTTTTAACTAATTATAATCAATCATACTTGATGATAAATGGGTGAGAGCAATTCTGTATGGTGTAGAAACAAGGCAAAGTCACCCTATATGAATACTTTTATCTCAATGTTACATTGGATGCCCTAACCAATATATTAAGAATAATAATTAAAAAGTGTAAGGATTAAAAAGAAAAATATTGTAGGGGTATTTTGTTTTGTTTCTTGTTTTTTGTAGATATTATTGTCCACATCAGAGGTTGACAAACATGTTATGTGAAGAACAATATAGATATTTAAGATTTCTGGGGGGCCATGTGGTCCCTTTAGAAAGCATTTAACTCTGTAACATAAATTTCACAATAAACAATTCATTAAAATGACTGTGGTTGTGTTTTAATATTTATAAAAACAAAGAGCATGCTGGATTTGGTACACAGGTACATAGCTTGCCCCCCAAATTTTGTAGATATGTTATTAAAAACAATGAGAGATTAACAAATTTTGAATAGAAAACCAAATAAAAAATAATTATATATCTCTATATTTGCAATAGATAGAAAACAAGATTTTAGCAATCCATGTAATTAAAAATAAAACTGGCAAAAAACACACATCTTTAGAAAAGAAATGTTTAAATTTTATTGAAAATCATTAAGACAGACTTAAAGTATTTTTGTATGTGAAACAAAATTTACTGAGAAATTGCAAGAAAAGTTAACAGTTACATTCATTCTTGTCTTTGTAATTTGCTTCTGGAAAAAAACATTTTCAGTATGATCAAGGAATCAATGAAAAACATGAAATGCTTTGTCCTAAGGCCAGGGACAAAACTGTCACCACTTGTATTCCACATTGTACTGGGGATTCTAAACAGTGGAATAAGAAAAGGGAAACAAGTAGAAGTCATCGAAATTGGAAAAAAAAAAATAAAGTTACATGGTCTGGCTCTCTGTTCCCATCCAAATTTCATCTTGAATTGTAATTCCCAGGTGCCAAGGGCGGGACCTGGTGGGAGGTGATTGGATCATAGGGGTGGTTCTTGTTCCCCCATGCTGTTAGAATTCTGATAGTGAGTTCGTTCTCAGGAGAGCTGTTGTTTTTCTAAGTGTTTGGCAGTTCCCCTCCCCATGCTCTCTCTCTCTCTTGCCACCTTGATAAGAAGGTGCTTGCCTCTCCTCCGCCTTCTGCCATGATTATAACTTTCCTGAGGCCTCTACAGCCATGCAGAACTGTGAGTTAATTAAATCTCCTTTCTTTATAAATTACCCAGTCTCAGGTGGTATCTTTTTAAATTATTTCAATACATTTGGAGGGAACAGAGGGTGTTTGGTTACATGAATAAGTTTTTTTATGGTGATTCCTGATATTTTAGTGTACCCATCACCTGAGCAGTGTACACTGTGTACCAATGTGTAGTCTTTTATCCCTCATCCCTCTCCCACCCTTTCCCCTGTTTCCCCAAAGTCCACTGTATCATTTGTATGCTTTTGCATCCTCATAGTTTAGCTCCCACTTATGAGTGAGAACGTACAATGTTTCGTTTTCCATTCCTGAGTTACTTTACTTAGAATAATGATCTCCAATTCCATCTAGGTTGCTGTGAGTGCCATCATTTCATTACTTTTTATGGCTGAGTAGTATTCATAGGTATATATATACCACAATTTCTTTATCCACTGGTTGATTGATGGGCATTTGGGTCGGTTCCATATTTTTGCAATTGCAAATTGTGCTGCTATAAACATGTGTGTGCAAGTATCTTTTTTGTATAACGATTTATTTTCCTCTGGGTAGATATCAGTAGTGGGATTGCTGGATTGAATGGTAGTTTTACTTTTAGTCCTTTAAGGAATCTCCACACTGTTTTTTATATCAGTTGTACTATTTTATATTCCAATCAGCAGCATAAAATTGTTCCCTTTGCACCACGTTCACACCAACATCTATTATTTTTGGATTTTTTTGATTATGGCCTTTCTTGCAGGAGTAAGGTGGTATCACATTGAGGTTTTGATTTGCATTTCCCTGATCATTACTGATGTTGAGCTTGTTTTCCTATGTTTGTTGGCCATTTGTATATCTTCTTTTGAGAATTTCCCATTCATGTCCATAACCCACTTTTTGATGGGATTGTTTGTTTCCTTCTTACTGACCTTTTTTGAGTTCCTTGTGGGTTTTGGATATTAATCTTTTGTTGGATGTGTATATTGTGAAGATTTTCTCCCACTTTTTGGGTTGTCTGTTTACTCTGCTGATTGTTTCTTTTGCAGCACAGAAACTTTTTAGTTTAATTCAGGTAGTATCTTCATAACAGTGTGAGAATGGACTAATACAGAAAGTGTAATTATTTTACTCTTAAATAATATAATTATTTAGGTAGAAAATCCAGTGAGGACAGGCAAACTACCACCCATAGATAAAATGTGGCCTGTTTCCTATGCATTGTATGATGCTTAAGCTAAAAAGATGAGAAGAAAAAGAATGAGAAGGAGTAGGAAAAGAGGAGGAGATGGAGATCTTGTTTCCTGCAAAGCCTAAAATAGTTATTGTCTGCACACTCAACAGAGAAAGTTTTTCTACTTCTCAATTTAAAAAGCTACTAAAGCTCACAAGTGAATTAAAAAAAATTATAGTCATTTCACTGCTAGATATTTTCACGAGATAAATGTGCATCAACAGATGAATGGTTAAATAAACTGTGGCATATCAATACAATAGAATGCTACTCAGCTATAAAAAGATTAAAAATTTGTGGTATACAAACTGACATGGATGAATCACGATATAAGTATGCTGACTAAAATATGCCAGTCAAAAAAGTGTACATATTATGTAATTCCATACATAAAATTATGAAACATAAAAATTAAAGTGCAACACTTTATTTTGTAGTAACAAAAGTAGAAATGGCAATTCTAACATGAAAACTTAGAAGCAGTATTTACGGTTCGGTATTAAAATATTTAAATTTTTACATAACTAAATGCAACAACACAGAATTATGACAGGTTGGTAACATTTAATTTGTGAATAATTTTAGTGGTGGATTAAAGAAGAAATGTTTTCAACTACTGTTATTTGTCACCCCTAGGTAACTATTAATAGGTCACCTTTGTAGTGGAATCTGATTGCCTACCAGGCAATTTAACATGTTGTGATTCATTTGCTTCAACATAGAAATATAAAGAGTAAAAACAAACAAACAAACAAACAAAAATGCCTTGAGATGGCATGAGATTCTGCAGACAGGAGGTTGCTGGTCAGACACAGAGGTGTTTGTATTTTGATGCAGGGCTCTTCTGCCTAAGCATTTTGAAGAAGGTGGTAAGCTGTGGCCTAGGGTCCTTGACAGGAGGGAGGCAGTTTAATTAATGGGCTATGATGTATGGCTGATTGATTTTAGAGCACATTTGGTGGTTTTCACAAATGATCCATCTTAATTTTGGATAAATTATCAATATATTCAGCATATGTCATTGGTGATGCTTATCACAACAATGACATGTTTTTCTACGAAAAGTCTAACTTTGCCCATAATCCATCATTTGTATTTCACTCAGACCCATTTCAATCAGATCCCATAAATATTGATCTTGATGGAATTACAGATAAAAAGGTATTTTACTACTAACCTGTTTGCTAACATTAACTCTAAATACTGACAGTACATCCTTGAATCTGTAATATAAAATGATACATTAGTTATAAGTTATGTTTTCTGTATATACGTGGGCTTTCTTCTGGACTCTTTATTCTTTTCAATTGGTCAGTCCTTGCATCAATGCTGCACAAAGTTAATACAGCATTATACTAATTCTTGATATCTGATAGAATTAGATCCTCATTTGCTTTTCTTTCTCTAAAGTGCTCTGGCTTCATTTAGGACTTTGATTTCTGTGTAAAATGTAGATGAGGGTTGTTAAGACTTCTTGCAAAAGAAATTCTTTTAGAATAAAACTTTCCACTAATTTATAGATCATTTTGGAAGGAGTTACATATTTTGTTACTACATAATAAAAGTTCTTTAGAACTTTCTAC
Source organism: Homo sapiens (assembly GCF_000001405.40). NCBI lineage: Eukaryota > Metazoa > Chordata > Mammalia > Primates > Hominidae > Homo > Homo sapiens. The sequence goes on along the minus strand of NC_000002.12, from coordinate 56,835,633 downwards.
TTCTTGAATTTCATCTCTTTAGCCTCCTCTCCACATACAAATACTATTACTGTTTTAATGATTGCTGAATACGTCTATTGATGTATGGGTATAAAAAAATTAACTGTAAGATTTCAATGTCTCTGTTGGATAGTAAGTTCCTATAAAAATACTCATATTTACAACTCCAAAATTATCTGCCATTGTCCCTTTATGTAGATATATGATCACATCTGTAGGTGAGGATTTGGTATGACTATATATAAGAGGGAGACCTGAATAACACTAAATTAAGAAATAGAAATAAATTTCTCTTTTTGATAAATGTCTGGTGATGGATGTTCCGAAATTAGAGGTGGCTACAGGTTGTCAAGTTTCCGGGGATTTTTCAAGTAACCACTCTCCTGCCTTCTGCATGTGCTCTGAAACTCTTGAGTCTAAGATACTGCAGGGACAGATAGCAGGATGGAGGAAGGTCTAAGAAAAAGGGACAAAAGACTGAGTTCAACCTTGGATACACAGTAGATATTCAATTTGAAAGACAGACTGAGATACCCCATGAAATCAGACAGAGGAAAATAGCCTATAAATGCATTTAGCTCATCTTCTGTCTCTCTCTCTCCCTCCTTTTCAGACTGTCTCTGGAAAAGTGAACTCCAAAGCTTACTTCATGTGTTGCCAAATCTGTGCGTAAAATGGTGAACCAATAAATCGACTGGTGGCTCTATCTTCACGACACAAATGATGAAGCTGACTCATCTTCCTATTGACTCTTCTGACTCTTGTTTGGCACGGTGTTTTATATGTGGGGAGATATTTATGTCCCCTTTGCTCACTGATTTGAAGTCATAATTGCTTCTAGTAGTCGGTAGCATCATTTCTGAACATAGAGAATCATGCCAGAGAATTCTTGGGGGAGTAATTCTAACTAGTATTTTCACAAGATTGTTTATTATACAAGAGAGACAGATAAATTTCATACTTCCTTTTTTTATTTTCTGGGGAGTATATCACAACCTAAAGAATGTTTAAAGCCCATGTGCCACTCACACATTCTGCTGCATAGATAAAGACCCAAAAGAATGACATGGGTCCAATACAGTTAAATAAGGGGATATAAGGTGGCTATGTGTACTTTGACCAAAAATTGAGATTATGCTAGCACAGCCCTGCTCCTCCAATTTGAGAACCACTGATCTGGTCAAATCTTTCTATTGAGAAATACAAATATAATGGAAAAAATGGTCTGCTACATCAAAGACTGTAAACATCATGCAGTAAGAGATATTTTATTTACTATCATATCCACAGCAGCTAGCACTATTCCTTTTATAAAGTAGATATTCAATAAATAAGAGAAGTATGTGCAAATAACTAAAAGAAGCAGAGATGTGTCTGCAGGAATCAAACTTGTGATTTCTTAACAAATACATTTATTACTATATGAAGTTATATTACTCATCCATTTGCTTATTTGATTTTCTTTATCTCTCCCCCTTACTAGAATATTTGCCCCTTTGACTGGATGCTGCAATTGTAGCACCCAGAACAGCTAGTACAGAGTTGTCAGACACTCAAAATGTATTAATTAATGGTTAAAGGAACATAGAAAAAGACCTTCATTTATAGCTTTGAATTTAAAAGACACTACTAAAAGTAGTTTCTCACTTTTTTTATTTCCATTTTTTGAGACAGAGTCTCACTTGTCGCCCATGCTGGAGTGCAATGGTGCAATCTGGGCTCACTGCAACCTCCTCCTCCTGAGTTCAAGCGATTCTAGTGCCTCAGCCTCTGGAGTAGCTGAGACTACAGGTGCTGGCCACCACCCCTAGATAATTGTTTGTTTTTTGTTTGTTTGTTTTGGTTTGTTTGTTTTGTAGAAATAGCGTTTTGCCATGTTGACCAGGCTGGTCTCAAACTCATGACCTCAAGTGATCTGCTTGTCTTGGCCTCCCAAAGTGCTTGTATTACAGGCATAAGCCACCACATCTGGCCAGTTTTTCACTTTTTAAAATAAATATTTGTACTGTTGATTCTTTTAGCATGCATAATTCAGGATGCTCAAAAAGAAATAAAATGTATAAAACATAAGTAATGAGTGAACAAAATACCATTTAAATAACATCTTTTTCTACACTAGGAAGTATTCTAGATGCTGCAGAATGTCGTAATGTTTTTCTATACCATTCAAATGTGAATTTTTTTTTATTAGTTTCTTTTCTTTGAGACGGAGCTTCGCTCTTGTTGCCCAGGCTGGAGTGCAATGGCACGACTTCGGCTCACCACAACCTCCGCCTCCCAGGTTTAAGCGATACTCCTGCATCAGCCTCTCAAGTAGCTGGGATTACAGGCATGCACCACGACACACAGCAAATTTTGTATTTTTAGTAGAGACAGGGTTTCACCATGTTGGTCAGGCTGGTCTCGAATTCCTGACCTCAGGTGATCTACCCGCCTCGGCCTCCCAAAGTTCTGGTATTACAGGCCTGAGTCACCGCACCTGGCCCAGATGAGAATTATTTTTAAAAACACAACCTACATAAGACAAAAGTTTACTTCACTTTTTCAGTGTTTACAAGGTATCTAACAAAATGAAAAGCATCATAATTTGTGTAAGGATACACATATTGATGAAAATTTGAGTCTTTTAGTATATTTCGTTATAAACAATAAGCATTCCTCTCCATTTATCTATTCATATAGGACATGCATGTATATCAGAGAATAAATTCCTAGAAGTAAAACCATTGTTTTTAAAAAAATGTAAATTTCCAATTATGATGGATATTATAAAATTATCTTCTGATGACATCTCAATAATTAAGTTTCTACAAAGAAAGAATAGGAATGTTTCTTCACCTTCACACTCTGGTAAACATAAGGTACTATCACCATTTTAGACTTTGTCAGTCTCATGGATGTAATTAAAAGTATATAATTATTATAATATGCATTATTTTAATTTTTAATAAAATTAAAATTTATAAATGAGTTTTATGCTTATAAGCCTTTTATTAATATATTTCTTTTTCTGTGAATTATAGTTTTTATTCTTTGCACTTTTCAACTTATTAATCTTTGATTAATGTCTAACAACTCTTGAAATCTCACAAAAATATCTACTCGTTACTTGGGTGTTTTTATAGTTTGTATTAATGGCCCTAGTTTTTGTTCCTAAATCCATGCCCCTTGACCTGTAACTCTATGGTCTTTATCACTATTTTGTCATCTCTTACATCCAAGCAGTCTTTATGACTTGCTTTGGCTAATATTATTAATAAGCAGCAGAAGTTATGTGTGCCAATTCTGAGTCTCGGTGTCAAGAGAATTTCTTTGTTTCTGTTGTCTTATTGTACTCTGTCGTTGCCCCTAGGATATGCCCAGGCTAATCCACTAGTCCCAGAAAATGGAGGACAGTCAGGAAGAACAGGTCCAAGCCACCCTACTTGCCTCAGATGAGGTCAGTTTACATAATCCTAGAATTAGCCAACCCTCAGAATCTTGAGAGAAACCCGCTGAGATCAGCCAAGCCCAGCCAACCCTATCATCATGATTCAAGAGCTATAATAAATTATTATGAATTTAAGCCTCAGACTCTTAGGGTGCTTTGTTACTAGAAATAGATACAGCAACAGAAATAGAAATATACCAATAGAAAGTTGATATAGTTGCCAAATAATTTCCTCAATGTCTGCTTTCTTTCTTTCCCTCCCTCCCTTCCCATCCTTTTCCTTTCCTTCCCCTTCCCTTTCCTTTCCTTCCCTCCCTTCCTTTTCTTCCCTCCCTTCCTTTTCTTCCTCTCTTTATTTCTTTCCTACCCTCCCACCCCTCTCCCTCCTATTATTGCTTTTCTGTATTTATATGTGGCAAGATTCGTATTCCCTAACTATTCTTCTTTCTCCAAATATTTGCAACTCAACTTAAATTTTTATCTTTTGTTGGTTTTTGGTTAGCAATTACATTACATTTATTCATCAATTAAGGAAAATATTCAGCACCTTTATGTTCCAATAAGTATTGACCTATATCACCATCCAGTTGTTACAAATACGTTATTGCATGGGTTGTTTTCATTTCTTTATGCTTGTAAGATATGCTTTGTTGAACAACTTTCCTCTATTTTTCATCCTTTTTTGCTCAATTATCACTTCAGGGTATATCCATAGATATGAAATTGAAGGGCACATACATTTTAAAACTTTTACATGTATAGCAATTATTTCCAGGAAAAACTGTATCAAGTTATACTCCAACTAACAATTTATAATAATGTATGTTTCCTACACCCTGGAACACATTGAGCATTAACAATGTTTTATATCTATCTATATGATAAGTAAGGAATGATAGAAATGGTTAGTTTAAACTCACTCTGCGTACATACACTTAGAGACCACAAGAAATAAGTCATGCCATATTTGATTAACTGTGCTCCAGGGAACATTTGCTTCTCTGGACTTCCATGGAATTCTTTTAAAAGGTTACTATTTTAGGACTGTCCTTGATCTACATAGTAACAGCCTATCAACGGTTTCCGCATAATTATTACGGTTCCCTATTTTGTTTGCCAGAAGATACACTTTTATTTCACATCTCCTGTTCTCCCTGTGTTGTAGAATCTTAAATAGGATTAAACTGTATAATTTTAATAGATTTTCATAAACTCTAGTTAATTTGCATTTAAATGCCATTGAAATTTTGTTTCTAACAAAACTATAACATAAACTTTAAACGTACATAAAAATAACAAACAGCTTACATTTTTCAAGGCAAGATAAAAGTAACTGTAAACAACACAGTGGGAAGGAATGTTATACCACTTTAATACTAGCACAGGCTTAGTTTCCAATGATTAAATTCTCCTTGCTCCTCCCCTCTCATTCCCTGGAGAGCAAGAACATTTATTTTTAATATTCTTCAAATCTCATTTAAGGCCTTAATTTTTTAAAAATTGTTCTTACTTTATTATTAATAAATACGTTGATTTTTTGGTATTATGATGTCATCAATCTGGAAACTAAACTAACTGTGTACTTTGCAAACTAGTAAGGACAGTAAAAGTTAGTGGCTACCAGATTAATTTTGACTCTCTGTCCAGTTTAGGATTTATAGTAAAATTACTTTTGACACTATGGCAGAGTTCTAGCAATGATATGTTAAGAAGAGAATGCATCAAGTTCTTAAGACTAGCCAGAAAAAGAGCACCCATTAGACAGTGTTTTTATCTTTGACATCTTCTGCACTTTATACGTGTAAAAATTGTTTGCATGCCCACCCAGTACTCAAGATAACCTGAGTACTTTTTTTTCTTTTTTAATCGGAGTCTCACTCTGTCTCTCAGGTTGGAGGTCAGTGGCCCGATCTCGGCTCACTGCAACTGCCGCCTTCTGGATTCAAGCAATTCTCCTGTCTCAGCCTCCCAGGTAGCTGGGATTACAGATGTGCACTACCATGCCTAGCTAATTTTTGTATTTGTAGTAAAAACGGGGTCTCACCATGTTGGCCAGGCTGGTCTAAAACTCCTGACCTCAGGTGATCCACCCTCCTCATTCCCCCAAAATGTTGGGATTACAGGCATGAGCCACCATGCCCAGCTGTACTTCTTTTTTTTTTTTTTTTTGAGACGGAGTCTCGCTCTGTCGCCCAGGCCGGACTGCGGACTGCAGTGGCGCAATCTCGGCTCACTGCAAGCTCCGCTTCCCGGGTTCACGCCATTCTCCTGCCTCAGCCTCCCGAGTAGCTGGGACTACAGGCGCCGGCCACCGCGCCCGGCTAATTTTTTGTATTTTTAGTAGAGACGGGGTTTCACCTTGTTAGCCAGGATGGTCTCGATCTCCTGACCTCATGATCCACCCGCCTCGGCCTCCCAAAGTGCTGGGATTACAGGCGTGAGCCACCGCGCCTGGCCCCAGCTGTACTTCTTATAGTAGCTGAGGAATGAACAGTCCATCCAAGCTTAAATTCATGTCAGTTTCTTAATTTTGTCCAAACAGGACAAAATATGATTCCAATTGTGGTTTAAGGGAAAAGAAATTCCCTTTCTCTCCAAGTAAATATGAACACAAAAACATATTACCCTATAACTATGAGTAGTCATCTTGCTACTTTGAGGCAAAACTCTCCACAGGAAAAAGCCAGCACTCCTGGGAGAAAAGGACATAAAGAAATGGGGCCTCAGACTTCAAAATATACTGAACAAATCAAACCTGGTGTTTGACCTCTGAATGGTTTAGTTATATAAGTCAATAACATATTGTTTATGCCATTTTGAATTGGATTTTCTGTTATTTATAACATAAAGAATCCTAATAATATGAAACGTTTTTTTTTTTTTTTTTTTTGAGACAGATTCTCTCTGTGTGGCCCAGGCTGGAGTGCAATGGTGCTATCTTGGCTTACTGCAAACTCCACCTCCCAGGTTCAAGTGATTCTCCTGCCTCAGCCTCCTGAGTAGTTGGGATTACAGGTGCCCATTACCACGCCCAGCTAATTTTTGTATTTTTAGTAGAGACGGGGTTTCACCATGTTGGTCAGGCTGATCTTGAACTCCTGACCTCAGGTGATCTACCTGCCTTGGCCTCCCAAAGTCCTGGGATTACAGGCGTGAGCCACCGCACCCAGTGAACTTTCTTTAGGAGGACACTGAGTCAAGTTCTTGATATTTGGTGCAACCAAGGAAGTTCCAAGAAAGCTTCAAATGTATTGTGATACAAAATAACAATCATTCATTCTAGGGGAAAATACGCTTCCAAAAGCTGTTGGCTGGTGGGGAAAATATGCTTCCTAAAGCTCTTGACTCATGCTCTACCCAAAAACACATCAGGAGCACATTTTCTAATCACTGTGTTTGATCTTATATTTGCTTAATGGAACATCTTTTATTTCTAATTTTGAAGATGTGTAAAGCATTGCCTAGAACTTAGGTTACAGTCATCCTATCTAATAAAACATTTCAATAAATGATGAACTACTTTTTAAAACATCTATTCTACAAACCAAAACAAAGAAACAAGCAAAAAAAAAAAAGGGAAATTTTTTCATCATGCTACTGGCTAGGATAAAAACAAAATGTCAGCTGATATCCAAGTAGAGACCAAATTATACTCTGTTTACACTTCTAACATGAATTAAAATTGTTTATCTAGCTAACAGGCTTAGCCTTGATTAAATGTCATTAGTGTCCATTATAATTTCAACTGTACTTGAATTTTATAAGCCTGCTATAAATTACATTTTTATCTTTCAGAGATGTAAATAAAAATTAATATACTATTTCAGCTATTAATACCTGTATTCAGATTATTGCTTGAAGAATCTACATTTTTAATTTTCTACAATTAAAAGCTAAAAACAGTTATTAAGACTGCTAATCAATTATTGACTTCCAATTGGCATCAATATTAGCCAGATCCATACAAATTGGCTAGAGCTGTTTTGAAGCTAATTATAATTTTCTCTTCCCATCTGTAAAGCACTGGCCTTGACCACTATAGGATCAATTTGCTCACTCCCAAGCTTATTTCCTTCTTCATTGTTTGAAGCACTTTATTGCATTTAAATGAACACTTAGTCATAATCACTTAGTTCAAGAATTATTTCATAGTTGAATGCAAAGAGAATTATATCAATGTTTTACCCATGCCATTTCTTTATAAAATGTGCAATAAGACTTATTCAGGAGTGGATAGGAAGGGTTTTAGAGAATCTTGGTGGTCAGAAAAGCCATGGAGAAGTCTCACGTAAACATAATTTAACTTTCTTGTCTAGATTGTTAAAGGGTTAGAGTCACAGGAGAAGAAGATTTCTATTCATCAAGAGAGACCTATTTCTCCTCTCACTGGAGACAGACAATTCATATGATGATTTTTCTATCCTGTGGCACTAGTGGAAAATCTAGATACACAATAGCTACTACAGGGTTTGTGGCTTTCCGGAAGTCGGTAAATGGAGGAAACAGAGTCATTTGTACTGGAAGTGGGGCTATGAAGAGGATATTTGCTTCAATCATTCAGGAATTCTGTGGAACTGATGGGAAAATCTGTGGCACTGGTGGAAAATCTAGATGCACAAGAACTACTACAGGGTCTGTGGCTTTCCAGAAGGTGGTAAATGGAGGAAGCAGAGTCACGTGTACTGGTAGTGGGGCTGGGAAGAGGATTTCCTTTGCTCCAGTCTCTTTTCTACTTGCCTAGTTAAATCCCATTTATTCCTCAGCTTTCAAACATAAGCCAGAATTAGGACAAGCCCCCTTGTATTCTACTCCATAGCTCAGCACTTTCCTTCATAACATATATCAACTTTTAGAAGTACAGCATAAGCATTTCGTGACATTCTTTGATTAATATCTGCTCCCCACACTCCACCAGCTAAGCTATAAATTCTAGGACATCAAAGGTCATGTCTATTTTGACATGTATTTACATATATATGTATATATACATATATGTAAAACAGTAGTTTTTATATATATATGAATGTGTATGCATACATATTCAGACCTTAATATCATGCTTAGCACATAGTAAATATCAAACACACATTTTTGAAAAATTGGATTAGTAAATGAAATATAGCCAACATCACTGGACAGGACTGTCACTTTCTCTGAGACAGAGTTTAAAAGGGATCCCTGAATACTTCTGAAACTGTCTTGAAGTGCATTTCTGGAAATTGTGGGAGCCTGAACATAAATGTAAATGTTCCCTGCTATTGCTCAGACTAAGCAGCAAATGAGGCATCAACGAACATGGGAATATCAGAGGCTAAAATTGAGGCGTATGGGTTCTTACGCATGAGGAACCCAACATTTCTCCATGCCCACATGCACTCTAGAAAGCTGTATTTGGATCTGCATCCTAGGCATTATTTTCTGTTCATCAAACCCCTTAAAATAACATGGGGGCAAAAGTACTTGTGCCAAAGACGATGTTTTGTGTTCACAGAATCATCTTCCTATTGGGAACACAGCTAAGTCACATTTTCCAACCCCTGCCTATTCTGGAACGAGCCGAGCAATTACGTTCTAACCAATGGTGTGTGGATGAAAATGAGCCCTATAAAACATTTTCTCCATCTTTATTCTTCTAATTCAGGGGCAATCTTGCAGGTCTTGTGCAGAAAATACTACTACAAAGAATGAAAAGACTGAACTCCTGAATGATTAAAGCAGAGTGCCTTCCACACTCCTCTCTCTCAGTAGGGTAGCTCCAACTTGTATACACCATGAACAAAAAATGCTCTTGTGTTGTGTTGTGCTAAATCAAAAGAGTTTGGAGTTATTTGCTACAACCATTAATCACCCTGACTAATCAAGTACTGTAGATTGTTATTGCCACCAAAAATGCAAAAATAAAGAACAAGTGAAGAGAGGTAGGATGGAGCTTCCTAACAATATTCTGGGAAACAATCACCAGGAAGATGTCAAAGGCAATTAGGCACTACTGGAAGTAAAATATGTATCTGTTTACTGAAATTTCATTTCTCCTATTTTGAAAGTAGGTTAGTGAAAGTTCCTTATCATCTTCACTTGTAATTCTCCAAAATTACCCAGCATGGAGTTAGGATTTTGGAGAATAATTAATAAATGGTTGATGAATAGATGAATTATTTTCCTTTTCACAAAAAAAATTACAATCTAATTGAAAAGTATTGTGATATAGAGAAAACAGCTGGATTCTGGAAACAAATGTTTCTGGGCATGGGGCTCAGCTGCACAAGAAGGGGGAATTTATTGAATATCTCTTATCTACACGTTCTCATCTTTAAAAGGAAGATTATAACCATTCACTTATCATAGGATTACATGGGACAACATACATATATTTGAAAATCTAGTAACTCTCACAAGCACGTGGTTAATAAAGCACGTATTTTTCTCAAGTCATTTACAAGCTGCAAAATCACTCAGAATGCTTTTTATTGTTGTTTATTTTGGTTTTGGTTTTGTTTTCTAGTGTTTCTGAAAAACAGAAGAGTGTCTTTATGCATGGATAAAAATGTACAGTAGTAGAACTGTTTCCTTCAGATTATTATCATTAAACTTTGTTTTATCAAATATATTCTATCTCTGTGTATTTGTTCCTCTAGCAAAGTCTGGAACTAAGAATATTATTCATTTTACCCTCTAATAAGATAGAATTGGAGGGAAAGGAAAGTTTAGATTATCATATTAAGTACTTAAATGTTTATTCCATTTAAATTTTGACAAGAGACATATATAATAGGTGCTCAGGATAGTTAACCAATTTTTTATGAGGTAAAATCTTTTCTTGGAAATTTCATAATATGTCAATACAAACAAAATATTTATGCAAAGCAATGATTCATTTTCTACTGTCTAGCTGAAGTTTTAAAAGTTAGAGCTTGATTTGGATTAAGTTTGGCCTATAGACATATGCTAAACTCTCCAAATGTTCATTTTTACATTTTACAGTGATATGATCTCAATGTAGTAAAGAGTAGAAAACTTAAAGTTGCCCCGAGAAAAGAGCAAAGGATCGTACACTTATTTCAAAGTTTAGTTGATGAATTTGCAAAACCTGTGTGCTTTATAAATGTGTGACCCTCACAAATTTCAGTGGCCAACTTTGCTATGTTTTCTCCACCTTTTTTCATTATATTTGGCATTTCTAAGGCAGAGCTTCATTATAGACAAGCAATCTATGGCAATAAGCAGGGGAAATGAGACTTCATAGTAGATGTCAAGAAAGAGAAAAAAAGTGAAGAAAAATGAAAACAAAATTGCAATAGGGTTTTAGAGGCCCATCATTGCTGTGGGATGTGTCCATAGGAAACATGGAAGGACGGCCAAAGAAGGCTCTTTTTTTTTAAGGTTTTATTCTAAGTGTAGGGATATAAGTGCAAGTTTGTTACATAGGCAAACTTTTGTTATGGGGGTTTGTTGTATAGATTATTTCATCACCCAGGCATTAAGCCTAGTACCCTTTAGTTATTTTTTATGACCGTCTCCTTCCTCCTACCCTCCAGCCTCCAGCAGGCCCCAGTGTCTGCTGTTCCCTTCTATGTGTCCATGTGTTCTCATAAGTCCCATTTATAAGTGAAAACATGCGATATTTGGTTTTCTGTTCCTGTGTTAGTTTTCTAAGGATAATGGCCTCTGGCTCCAGCCATGTTGCTGCAAAAAACATGATCTTGTTCTTCTTTTTGGATGCATAATATTCCAGTATACCTGGATGCATAGTGTACCTACCAGAGCAAATTAATTTGTTTTGATTTGTTGCTAAAGATTAATAACCTGGTCTTGTGGCTAATACAGAAAGTAAATGACAAAACTGATCAAATATGCCACTTTTTAGTGTATTTCATAGTCCTCTCATGCTTATGCATGAAAACAAAGAGCAAAATAGGCAAGTTGTGCTCAACCAACAATTAGAAAAACCTATAGTAATAATAATAATCATCATCATCATAAAAATGCCCACATAGTATAAATAATTTACTAATTAGTATTAGTTTTTCAATTTATTTATCTCTTATTCTTCTTCTCGGAGAATCCGACCTGTGATAGGACACCTAAGAAAGGGTGAGAGACCTGAGATAGGGATGGGATGAAGGACCTGAAATTCCTCCTCCCCTTCAGGACTAAGCAGGAGAAAATCCAACGTCCGCCTCCAGAGTGGCCCCCAAAGTGGCATTTTCATGATAGACTTGTTATTACCAAGGGTTAGGCTCTCTGGTTTTATAGAGTTCTGTTGTTGACAGGCATAGGGTTGATGAATCAGGTTAATCAAGTTTATTGAATCAGGCTATTCAGGTTTATTTTGTAATCAATAATATGACTTTCATTTAACTACAGTACTCATGTGAAAACATGACAAAACGTTCTTACGATTACAATTTATTTAGTATATTGAATTAGTAAATTGAAGGCTTGAATATTAGGCAAAGAGAGATGACAACATTGGTAACTTAATTGATTACACCTGACCCACACAGATTAAAACTATCCTTTGACTACATCAATGACCACCAGATTCCTGGTCTCCTCTCTAGTTACTGATGGATAAACGTTGCTTGCTTCTGGCTCTTTGGGTTTTCATAGCTCTGCAACAGTGGTTCCCAAAAGCAAGCTGACATAAAAAAGCACCGGAATGGGTGCATAAAAATCCACTAAGGATTTGGTTAAACATATAAATTAGGGGGCCCCCATCCTAGACCTACTGAATCAGAATATCTAAATGTAGAGAACTGATTTTTTTTTCATAATTTCCCAGAGCACTCTGATAAGCAATTCACTTTGGGTGACTCTCCAGACTAAAACCCAACTACAAATATACAGGTTTTCACCAGAGAGGACAATGTAATTGGATAGCTTTTTACACAGTAATTTTTTAAAACAATACAAATTTATTACCTTACAGTTCTGAATATGAGAAGTCCAAAGTGGGTCTCGCTGAGCTGAAATCAAGGTGTTGGCAGTACTGCATGACTTCAGGAGGCTCTGGGAAGCATCTGTTTCCTTGCCTCTTCCAGCTTTTAGTGGCTGCCTTCTTTGCTTGTCTCTTGGCCCTGGCCGCCATATTCAAAGCCAGCAGCATAGCATCCTCAACTCTTTCTCTGACTCTGACCCTTTTGCCTCCTTCTTCCACTTACAAGCACTCTTGTGATTACATTGGGTCCACCTGGATAATCCAGGTTATGCACCACATCACAGGTTCATCTGATTAGCAACCTTAATTTTCCTTTGCCTTTTGACCTAACATATTTATAGGTTTTTGGAGATTAGCATGTGGGCATCTGTGGTATACACGTTCTGTCTACTGCAGAAGTTATTATCACTTCAAGTGAGAGGGGAAAAGTGATTATAAATGATATTGAAATAAGTGACTAGACACTTGGAAAATTAGAAATAGGGCTATCTACCTTATTCTTTGTTTTTAATGGTTTTATAAGGTGAAACCCTTTTCCTTTGGTTCTTTTTTTTAATTTTAAGTTCTGGGACACATGTGCAGAACATGCAGGTTTGTTACGTAGGTATACCTGTTTTATGGTGGTTTGCTTCACCTGTCAACATGTCATCTAGGTTTTAAGCCCCACATGCATTAGGTATTTGTCCTAATATTCTTCCTGCCTTTGTTCCCCAACCCCTGACAGGCCCTGGTGTGTGATGTTCCCCTCCCTGTGTCCATGTCCTCTCATTGTTCAACTCCCACTTATTAGTGAGAACATGTGGTGTTTGGTTTTCTGTTCCTGTGTTAGTTTGCTGACAACGATGGTTTCCAGCTTCATCCATGTCCCTGGCAAAGGACGTAAACTCATCCTTTTTTATGGCTGCATAGTATTCCATAGTGTATATGTGCCACATTTTCTTTATCCAGTCTATCATTGATGGGTATTTGGGTTGGTTCCAAGTCTTTGCTATTGCAAATAGTGCTGCAATAAACATATGTGTGCATGTGTCTTTATAATAGGATGATTTATAATCCTTTGGGAATATACTCAGTAATGGGATGGCTGGGTCAAATGGTATTTCTGGTTCTAAATCCTTGAGGAATCACCACACTGTCTTCCACAATAGTTGAACTAATTTACATTCCCATCAACAGTGTAAAAGCATTCCTATTTCTCCACAGCCTCACCAGCATCTGTTTTTTCCTGACTTTTTAATGATCGCCGTTCTAACTGGCATGAGATTGTATCTCATTGTGGTTTTGATTTTCATTTCTCTAAAGACCAGTGATGATAAGCTTTTTTTTCATGTTTGTTGGCCACTTAAATGTCTTCTTTTGAGAAGTGTCTGTTTATATCCTTTGCCCACTTTTTGATGGGGTTGTTTTTTTTCTTGTATATTTGTTGAAGTTTCTTGTAGATTCTGGATATTAGACCTCTGTCAAATGGATAGATTGCAAAAATTTTCTCCCATTCTGTAGGTTGCCTGTTCACTCTGATGATAGTTTCTTTTGCTGTGCAGAAGCTCTTTAGTTTAATTTGATCCCATTTGTTAATTTTGGCTTTTGTTGCAATTGTTTTGGTGTGTTAGTCATGAAGTCTTCGCCCATGCCTATGTCCTGAATGGTATTGCCTAGGTTCTTCTAGGGTTTTTATGGTTTTAGGTTTCACATTTAAGTGTTTGTTGCAGTGTTTTAGTCATGAAGTCTTTGTCCATGCCTATGTCCTGAATAGTATTGCCCAGGTTTTCTTTCAGGGTTTTTATGGTTTTAGGTTTTACATTTAACTATTTAATCCATCTTGAGTTAATTTTTTAGGTGTAAGGAAGGAGTCCAGTTTCTGTTTTCTGCATATGACTAGCCAGTTTTGCCAGCACCATTTATTAAATAGGGAATCCTTTCCCCATTGTGTGTGTGTGTGTGTGTGTTTTTTGTCAGGTTTGTCAAAGATCAAATGGTTGCAGATGTGCGGTGTTATTTCTGGGGCTTCTGTTGTTTCCTTGGTCTATATATCTCTTTTGGTACAAGTACCATGCTGTTTTGTTTACTGTAGTCTTGTAGTATAGTTTGAGGTCAGGTAGTGTGATGCCTCCAGCTTTGTTCTTTCTGCTTAGGATTGTCTTGACTCTACGGGCTCCTTTTTCTCCATATGAAATTTAAAGTAGTGTTTCTAATTCTGCAAGGAAAGTCAATGGTAGCTTGATGGGAATAGCATTGAATCTATAAATTACCTTGGGCAGTATGGCCATTTCCATGATATTGATTCTTCCAATCCATGATCATGGATTTTTTTTTCCATTTGTTTGTGTCCTCTTTTATTTCCTTGAGCACTGGTTTGTAGTTCTCCTTCAAGAGATCATACACAACTCTTGTAAGTTGTATTCCTAGGTATTTTAATGTAGCAATTTTGAATGGAAGTTCGCTCATGATTTGGCTCTCTGCTTGTCTATTATTCATGTATAGCAATGCTTGTGATTTTTGCACATTGATTTCATATCCTGAGACTTTGCTGAAGTTGCTTATCAGCTTAAGGATTTTGGGGGTTGAGACAATGGGGTTTTCTAAATATACAATCACGTCATCTGTAAACAGAGACAATTTGACTTCCTCTCTTCCTAATTGAATACGCTTTATTTCTTTCTCTTGCCTCATTGCCCTGGCCAGAACTTCCAATGCTGTGTTGAATAGGAGTGGTGAGAGAGGGCATCCTTGTCTTGTGCCGGTTTTCAAAGGGAATGCTTCCAGTTTTTGCCCATTCAGTATGATATTGGCTGTGGGTTTGTCATAAATAGCTCTTATTATTTTGAGATTTGTTCCATCAATACCTAGTTTATTGAGAATTTTTAGCATGAAGGGATCTTGAGTTTTATTGAAGGACTTTTCTCCTCCTATTGAGATAATCATGTGATTTTGTCATTGGTTCTGTTTATGTGATGGATTATGTTTATTAATTTGTGTATGTTGAACCAGCCTTGCATCCCACTGATGAAGTCAACTTGATCATGGTGGATAAACTTTTTGATGTGCTGCTGGATTTGTTCTACCAGTAATTTATTTTGGATTTTTAGATCGATGTACATAAGGGATATTGACCTGAAATTTTATTTTTTTTGTTGTGTCTCTGTGAGGTTTTGGTATCAGGATGATGCTGGCCTCATAAAATGAGTTAGGGAGGAGTCCTTCTTTTTCTATTGCTTGGAATTGTTTCAGAAGGAATGTTACCAGCTCCTCTTTGTACCTCTGGTAGAATTCGGCTGTGAATCTGTCTGGTCCTGGGCTTTTTTGGTTGGTAGGCTATTAATTACTGCATCAATTTCAGAACTTGTTATTGCTCTATTCAGGGACTCAACTTCCTGGTTTAGTCTTGGGAGGGTGTATGTGCCCAGGAATTTATTCATTTCTTCTAGGTTTTCAGTTAATTTATGTAGGATTGTTTGTAATATTCTCTGATGGTAGTTTGTATTCCTGTGGGATCAGCAGTGATATCCCCTTTACCATTTTTATTGTGTCTGTTTGATTCTTCTACGTTTTCTTCTTTATTAGTCTAGCTAGTGGTCTATCTATTTTGTTAATCTTTTAAAAAAAACAAGCTCCTTGATTCATTGATTTTTTGAAGGTTTTTTTGTGTCTCTATCTCTTTCAGTTCTTCTCTTATCATAGTTATTTCTTGTCTTCTGCTAGATTTTGAATTCGCTTGCCCTTGCTTCTCTAGTTCTTTTAATTGTGATGTTTGGGTGTCAATTTCATATCTTTTCAGCTTTCTGATGTTGGCATTTAGTGCTGTAAGTTTACCCCTTAACACTGCTTTAGCTGTGTCCCAGAGATTCTGGTATGTTGTATCTTTGTTCTCACTGGTTTCAAAGATCTTCTTTATTTCTGCCTTAATTTCATTATCTTCCCAGTAGTCATTCAGGAGCAGGTTGTTTGATTTCCATGTAGTTGTGCAATTTTGAGTGAGTTTCTTAATCCTGAGTTCTAATTTGATTGCACTGTTGTCTGAGAGACTGTTTGTTATGATTTCCGTTCTTTGCATTTGCTGAGGAATGTTTTACTTCCAATTATGTGGTTGATTTTAGAATAAGTGCTATGTGGTACTGAGAAGAATGTGAATTCTGTTGATTTTGGGTGGAGAGTTCTACAGATATCTATTAGGTCTGCTTGGTCCAGAGATAAATTCAAGTCCTGCATATCCTTGTTAATTTTCTGCCTCATTGATCTGTCTAACATTGACAGTTGGGTGTTAAAGTCTCCCGTTATTATTGTGTGGGAGTCTAAGTCTCTTTTTAGTTCTCTAAGAACTTGTTTCATGAATCTGGGTATTGGGTGCATATATAATTAGGATCGTTTGCTCTTCTTGTTGCACTGATCCCTTTACCATTATGTAATGCCCTTCTTTGAAATTTTTGATCTTTGTTGGTTTAAAAGTTGGCTTTATCGGAGACTAGGATTGCAAACCCCTGCTTTTTTTTTTCTTTCTGTTTGCTTGGTGAATATTTGTCCATCCCTTTGTTTTAAGTCTATGTGAGTCTGCACATGAGATGAGTCTCCTGAATTCAGCACACGAGTGGGTCTTGAATCTTTATCCAATTCACCAGTCTGTGTCTTTCAACTGTGGTGCTTAGCCCATTTACATTTAAGGTTAATATTGTTATGTGTGAATTTGATCCTGTAATCATAATGCTAGCTAGTCATTTTACACATTAGTTGGAGCAGTTTCTTCATAGTGTCATTGGTCTTTATATTTTGGTGTGTTTTTGCAGTGGCTGGTACTGTTTTTTCCATTCCATGTTTTGTGCTTCCTTCAGGAGCTCTTGTAAGGCAGACCTGGCGGTGATAAAATCCCTCAGCATTTGCTTGCCTGTAAAGTATTTTATTTCTCCTTCACTTATTAAGCTTAATTTGGCTGGATATGAAATTCTGGGTTGAAAATTGTTTTCTTTAAGAATGTTGAATATTAGCCCCCACTCTTTTCTGGCTTGTAGGGTTTCTGCAGAGAGATCTGCTGTTAGTCTGATGGTCTTCCCTTTGTAGGTAACCTGACCTTTCTCTCTGGCTGCTCTTAAGATTTTTTCCTTCGTTTCAACCTTGGAAAATCTGACGATTATGTATCTTGGGATTGCTCTTCTCGAGGAGTATCTTAGTTGTGTTCTCTGTATTTCCTGACTTTGAATGTTGGCCTGTCTCACTGGGTTGGGAAAGTTCTCCTGGATAATATCCTGAAGTGCGTTTTCCAACTTGGTTCCATTATCCCCTTCACTTTCAGGTACACCAATCAATCGTAGGTTTAGTTTTTTCAGATAGTCCCATATTTTGGGGGGCTTTGCTCATTCCTTTTCATTCTTTTTTTCTCTAATCTTGTCTTCATGCCTTATTTCAGTAAGTTGATTTTCAATCTCTGATATTCTTTATTTCCCTTGATCAATTTGGCTATTGATACTTGTGTATGCTTCACGAAGTTCTCGTGCTGTGTTTTTCAGCTGGATCAGGACATTTATGTTTCTCTCTACACTGGTTATTCTAGTTAGCAGTTCCTGTAACCTTTTATTAAGGTTATTAGTTTCCTTGCATTGGGTTAGAATGTGCTCCTTTAGCTCAGAGGAATTTGTTAGTACTCACTTTCTGAAGCCTACTTCTGTCAATCATCAATCTCATTCTCTGTCCAGTTTTGTGCCCTTCCTGGAGAGGGGTTGCCATAATATGGAGGAGAAGAGGCATTCTGATTTTTTGGAATTTTTTTTTTTTTTTTTTTTGAGACGGAGTCTCGCTGTCTCCCAGGCTGGAGTGCGGTGACGTGATCTTGGCTCACTGCAAGTTCCGCCTCCCAGGTTCATGCCATTCTCCTGCCTCAGCCTCCCAAGTAGCTGGGACTACAGGCGCCTACGACCACGCCTGGCTAATTTTTTATATTTTTAGTAGAGACAGGGTTTCACTGTGTTAGCCAGGATGGTCTCGATCTCCTGACCTAGTGATCCGCCCGCCTTGGCCTCCCAAAGTGCTGGGATTACAGGTGTGAGCCACCGCGCCAGGCCGATTTTTTGGAATTTTCAGCATTTTTCTTCTGCTTTTTCCTCATCTTCGTGGATTTATCTACCTTTGATCTTTGAGGCTGATGATCTTTGTATGGGTTTTTTGTGTGCAGGTCCTTCTTGTTGATGTTGATGTTGTTGATTTCTGTTTGTCAGTTTTTCTTCTAACACTCAGGCCCTTTTTCTGCAGGTCTGCTGCAGTTTGCTGGAAGTCCACTCCAGACCTTGTTCACCTGGGTATCACAAGTGGAGGCTGCAGAACAGCAAAGATTACTGCCTGCTCCTTCCTCTGGAAGATTCAACCCAGAAGGGCACTGGCCTGATGCCAGCTGGAGCTCTCGTGAATGGGGTGTTTGTCGACCCCTATTGGGAGGTCTTTCCCAGTCAGGAAGCCCGGGTGGTCAGGGACCCACTTGAGGAGGCAGTCTGTCCCTTAGCAGAACTTGCTAGGGAGAATCCTCCTTGTCAGGATCAGCTACTGTCTTCAGAGCCGGCAGGCAGGAACTTTTAAGTCCGCTGAAGCTGCACCCACAGCTGCCCCTTCTCCCAGGTGCTCTGTTCCAGGGATATGGGAGTTTCATCCATAAGCCCATGACTGGGGCTGCTGCCTTTTTTTCAGAGATGTCCTGCCCAGTGAGGAGGAATCTAGAGAGGCAGTCTGGCCACAGCTGCTTTGCTGCACTGTGGTGAATTCCACCCAGTCCAAACCTCCCGGCCTCCTTAGCACTGTCAGGGGAAAACCGCCTACTCAAGCCTCAGTAATGGCAGAGGCTCCTCTGCCTACCAAGCTAAATCATCCCAGGTTGACTTGAGACTGCTGTGCTGGCTGCGAGAATTTCAAGCCAGTGGTTCTTAGCTTGCTGGGTCCCGTGGGAGTGGGACCCACTGAGCGAGACCACTTGGCTCCCTGGCTTCAGCCCCCTTTCCAGGGCAGTGAATAGTTCTGTCTCGCTGAGGTTCCAGGCACCACTGGGATATGAAAAAAAAAACTCCTGCAGCTAACTCAGTGTCTGCCCAAACAGCTAGTTTTGTGCTTAAAACCCAGGGCCCTGGTGGTGTAGGCACACGAGGGAATCCCCCAAAACCAAAGCCTTCTGCTTTGGTCTGGCTGGAGGCTGCAGACCAGAGCTGTTCCTATTCAGTCATCTTGCCAGATCCCTATCTTCCACCTAATAAATTTAAATCATATGTCAACTTGTCTTACCAGAGATTACAGTTTGAGATTCTCCTTGGTTTTGATGATAATAAAAGGTATCTGTAGTTAATAGACATGTCAGTTGCTCATTTAAATTTTCTTATTTCCCTTTTACCTATAGCTAATCACATCACTTCTGGGTATATTTTAATAGTTTAACTTCAGAATCCTTTTCCCAAGTTTATCATGGGAAATATTAATTTCCCATAATAATATTAATAATACATCTACAATTATTCCAGTTAAAATTATTATAAACATATTTTTCAAGCTTTTAGAGTATTGATGAAAATAATAAAATGTCTCTTTTTTTTTTTTTTTTTTTTTGAGACAGAGTCTCGCTCTGTTGCCCACGCTGGAGTGCAGTGGCGCGATCTCAGCTCACTGCAAACTCCGCCTCTCGGGTTCACGCCATTCTCCTGTCTCAGCCTCCCGAATAGCTGGGACTACAGGTGCCCACCACCACACCCAGATAATTTTTTGTATTTTTAGTAGAGACGGGGTTTCATCGTGTTAGCCAGGATGGTCTTGATCTCCTGACCTCGTGATCAGCCCACCTTGGCCTCCCAAAGTGCTGGGATTAGAGGCGTAAGCCACTGCGCCCGGCCAAAATATCTCTTTTTTAAAAGAGCAAGGTAAACCAATTCTGATAAATTTGACATTTCTGAAACTGATAGCCTCTTCTTGAGAATGCTAATAATGTAGAATACTAATAATGTATTCTTATACATTGTTATTATTATGTATTACAGATATTATATGCATTATCCATTATTACATATTATATACTATTATATCATTACACCTTATGATAAACCCTCTGGGAGTTTTCTGGTCATTTGAGAATGTCAATTTTTATGAAAAATTTTGAGAACATTAAAATATAATGTATGTTATGCTTCATGGGTCAAGTTTCTATTATAATTCATGCTTTAGGTGACAGGTGCAGAATAAATTTAGTAACAGTGGTTTAGGAACCTTTCCACTTGTATGAGAATTCAGAAGAAGAAAATATTTTTGAGATTTTACCACTCAGAACTGAAGAAGAAAATTGTCCAGGATAATTCATTATAATTTACAAATGGTGCAACAGTTAAGTGACATCTGCATTAATCCCCTGAATATTCCAGATCAATATTTTCCAAAGTTCATTCCATGGCATGCTCACCTTGCGGGATACTCCTTTAAAAAATATATCCCCAAGGTAAAAAACACTCTACTTCCCTAGATTAGAACATTTTTTTTACATTAACAACTTATAGAGTCTGAAAAATCTTAAAAACCCTGCTTAACTCAGGATTTCCCAGACATATGATGACAAAATGTTCCCACATAATATTTATTAATATCTGAGGTCCAGGGAATATACATCAGGACACGTTCATCTTTAGGAGGCAAAACTTGATTGTTTATTAATTGTCCCATCCTGAATGGATTTGGAGAGTGAGAGTGAGAAGGAAAAATTCTTAATGGAATGATATGAGTAAGACATCACATCTTTTCTAAAGTGGATTTCTACACTGTCACATGAAAATATTCATAATGTACTTCATGATAACTTAATGAACCCTTGGTTACCAGTTAAGTCAAATAATGCACCTATATATCAAAGATAAAAGAAAGTACTTGATTATTGCATTTACTATAACTCTGGTATTCCTAATCATGAAAGAATATACAAATTTTGCTTTCATTACCAAGTACAAACATGGAAATTAGAAGCCTATATTTAACCAGCTGAAACAGTTTGGATGAACCAGAAAAAGCAATGTCCATTATATCATATAGTCTCTCTAGCTAACCCAACTGAAATGCAAATGTAAGTTAAAAGAAAATAAGCATAAATAATTCTGGGTAAGTTGAATTCTTCAGATAATAGTAAGATAATATACTAATATTGATAGTATATGAATTATAAAGTAATATGAATTTTGTGTCAAGTGATTTTTACATATAATTATTTTATAAAATACTGATTTACAAATAACTTATTAAGGAATAACGTAAGAATGTTTGTTCTTTGTCCATAAATGAGATCATAAATGAGAAAATAAATCTTTGATAAGCCACAGGTTCAGATAATTGTCCCTTAAAAAATCATCACCGTAAATATGACTACTCTTCTTAGGTATAACAATACAAACTGGTTGAATTTTTTTTCCTTTTGGAGATTTCATTTTTTAGAGTAATTTTTAGGTTCTTAGCAAAGTTGAACAGTAACTACTTAGAGATTTTTATATATGCTCTGACTACACACATGCCCAGTTTCCCCCACTATCAACATTCCCTCACCAGAATAGTACATTTGTTATAATCAGTGGACCTACGTTGACACATAATTATCAACCAAAGTCCATAGTTTACATCAAGTTTCAGTCTTGGTGTTGTACTTCCTATGTGTTTTGCCAAAAGTATAATGACAGGTATCCACCATTATAGTATCATGCAGAATAATTTCACTGTCCTAAAAGTCCCTGTGCTCTGCCTATTCATCCCTTCTTCCCCCATACTCTGGCAACTACCGGTCTTTTTACTGTCTCTATAGTTTTGCTTTTTTCAGAATGTTACATATGAAATACCACAGTATTTAGCCTTTTCAGAATGGTTTCTTTTACTTAGTAATATGCATTAAAGTTTTCTCCATGTCTTTTCATGGCTTGAAAGCTTATTAATCTTTAATAATGAATAATATTCTTTTGCCTGAACGTATCACAGTTTACCCATTCATCTACCAAAAAACACCTTGGTTGCTTAACTTGTTACATTTTAACTTTATTATAATCCTAACAGGCAGAGGAAACATAAAAAGGGCATAAGATTAGGTTAGGAAAAACCATCACATTTTTTTTTACTTCTTTCACAACTACCTGCCTTTCCACATAAAAATATAAGTAATTCAAAGAACAAAGGTTCTTGTGTATAAGCTCAAGTAGATCTCTACGGGTAACTAAGGAATGGGTAACTGTTCATCAGTGTGAAAATACAAGAGGTAAATTTATACAATGCAATTTCAACCCCCCCAAAAATTGTTATTACCACAAGAAAATGTAATTTGTTTCTGAATCTTCTGTCTTCCCTTGCTTCTTAATAAGAATGATGTGTTTCTTTTGTGAGTAAAGAGACAGCAGGTTTCCTTAACAATTTAATCAGGTGATTAAGGAATAGTCATCATCTGATACTTTTAGTGTTCTGAGATTGATCTAAATCAAATTATTCTTTGTTAATAGATTATGAACAAAATGATAGAATGAAACAGGAAAGTCTCAAGTCTGTCATAACCTACACATACTAATTCCAAAATCATTTCGTGAAAAATATTTTAGACTAACTTTCTCCTTGGTAAATAATATGTCTGTTTATGTAACTATTAGTCATACTATTTGGAAGTGACATACATTTTTTAGTGTTTCCTTGAGGCAAATTTTCATGTCTGAACTCTAAGATCTAATCAGTTTCATCTGATTCTGAGACTAATTTTGAAAAATATGTTTCAATGAATAATTACATATAAGCCCTCAAAATTATCCTTACTGAAACTGAAAGAATCTGCCAGCAAGAAAATAAAAAATATGAACTTCTGACAGATCACAAAAAAAGTGTTTTTTTCTTTGACCTTTTATTCCAAACAGCTAAGACATGAACAGCAATGAGACGAATTTTTTTTAATTATAATAAAAAATGTTGAAAGATTCAATGGAAGACTTCCTTTTCTTTGTATTTATATCTCTGAAAACAAGAAAAAATTGCAAAGTAA
Source organism: Homo sapiens (assembly GCF_000001405.40). Taxonomy (NCBI): domain Eukaryota; kingdom Metazoa; phylum Chordata; class Mammalia; order Primates; family Hominidae; genus Homo; species Homo sapiens. The sequence continues at coordinate 56,812,272 of NC_000002.12, read as the reverse complement.
TATTTAGGCAAGATTGACATTTGAAGAGCTACTTGAGTAGTGAGAAGATTTGGAGAGAATGTCTGAGTATGTTCATTTAAGGGAAGCTTAGTGAAAATAATTAGAGTCATTTAATAAAGGAAATTGAAATCCTTTTATAACCTTTCCCTTTACATTCACTCTGTTACTATTTCTTCCAGTGAGATGGAGAGAGACTAGAACTACTTGGGGAAAAGTTTAAATGTCTAATGGGAGATTATTTTTGGTAAGAGATTAATTATACTGTAAAATAATTACTTAGTAATAAAAGGAAGAAAAGAAGGCACATTAGTAATGGCCTTCATTATCTTATTCTGTACTCTGGCCTCAATCTTTTTGTCTCTTGATTAGCTTTGATGTTCACTCTTACATTCATTTAATTCAAAATTTATGAACTAGTACCTTTTCTCTTTCATTTTATCAGTAGTTTCATTCACAGAATGAGATCATGACAATGATTTTTTTTTTTTTTTTTTTACCATCAAATCTATTTGTTCTGGGAGACATTTGTGGGATTACCAGGTCTCTCATTACAAGTCCAAGTAATTGAGAGAGAGTTACATGGTCACCAAGATCCACTTGAAGAAGACTATATCAGGAGTCTGGAAGGGAAACAAGACTGAGTTGCAGCATATAAAACAGAGTCAGTCCAAGAGATAACAAAAGTGAAATAAAGAGCTAGGCAAATAGCCAAATCTATGTCATTGTGTTCATGCTGCTGATAAAGACATACCCGAGACTAGGCAATTTACAAAAGAAAGAGGTTTAATTGGACTCACAGTTCCATGTGGCTGGGGAGGCCTCACAATCATGGCAAAAGGGAAGGAGGACCAAGTCACGTCTTACATGGATGGTGGCAGGCAAAGAGAGCTTGTGCACGGCAACTCCCATTTTTAAAACCATCAGATCTTGTGAGATCCATTCACTGTCATAAGAGCAGCACGGGAAAGACCTGCCCCCATAATTCAATCATCTCCCACCAGTTCCCTCCCACAACGTGTGGGAATTTGGGGAACTACGAGATTTGGGTGGGGAAACAGAGCCAAACCATATCAATCATCAATCTGAAATAGGAAGGAATGGCAAGGAGTTTTCATCTTACGTGACATTCTCTATAATGCTGGAAGATGCTTAGATTGTGACAAAGAATGTGAGGTTACAGCAAGTGCAAGGTAATAGAGCAGTATGATTAATCAGCTATCACTCTCCCAGATAAAAGAGTAAGCCATAACAAAATGTGCCAAGTGTTTGTGATACCTTACCAAGGGGAGAATACACAATGGAGACCAAGAAACCTCCCGTTTTCTATGTGGGTGGACAGTATTTCTGCCTAAATCAAAACTAGAGAAAACCTCTGCTTGACTTCACAGCATCCCACCTGACAAACCATGGACTTGAGTCATTTTTTTTCCCATTAGCCTATTCTTCTATACTATTTTTTTCATATTGGAACTAACTTCTGATTAGGCAATAGTTCTCCATATACTAACAGGTTAATGAAGTATCAAGTCAGGGATATCAAGAATACAAGCTTTAATGACTGCAAAAGTGACTTTTCTGGATGGAGGTGTTGTGAAAAATAACAAGTGAAGTTTACTATAGGAACCCCACGCTGCTGTTATGCAAGGCCCTCTCAACCCCAAGGGCATAGTTGGTACACTTCCAGTTACCGATCACTGATACTGGGCTCAGAATCTCAAAACCAGGATAATAACGGGAGGCTGAACTCAGATATTTGAAGTCTTGAAAGCTTGGGGTAATAGAAGGCCTTAATGATAAACACAATGATAGGATTTGGTTGGTCAGCACAGAAAATTAATATGTGCTATATTAATGGGATGCCAACCATCACCAGGACAGTCTTGTCAATATTTGAGCAGGGTAGCTTGGAGATTAGATCTAGATGAATAATATTCCAGGAATATTTAAAGGATAGAAGGATGGGCAGCAGGCTCTCAAGTTACCTGACATTATGACCAAAGATCAACTGACATAGATGATGGTGAATCGGAAGGGTTGGAAGCATCATAAATTGTTTCAGGTGGCCTTCAAGGTTTTGAAAATGTTGTAACAGACAACTGAAATATTTTGACGCAAGCTTTTCCAAGTGGGCTCTTCTTTTACGTGTCATCTTAGAGGAAGACTCTTTAGCTCTTCCTGCTGCACAAAATCACATGTGGTTAAGACACTGGTCTCTAAAGTCAGACAACCCTTGGGTCAAATACTAGTTCCACCAGGTACTATCTAAGTGAACTTCGGTTATGTAACATATCTAAGCCTGAATCTCATACTCAGTTGTAAGGATTAAACATGATTCCATAGAAAAGGGTTCAAAACAGTATCTGGCAAATAGTAAATGATCAGTTAAATATTAGATTTTTTTTTTTTTTTAAAAAAAGGCTTGCCCTCAGATGCTCCGAAATTTTAGGTCTGTAATCATGAGCATTCATGTACCTACTAACTACATGAAGCTGCTTTTGTTGGTTTTAGCCTAGGTAGCAAGACCTGATGTGAGCTGAGTTTTTAGCTCATCACAATCATTCTAGACCAAATTACACTCTCACTAGGTTTCTGACTGATTTTTAGGTAGCATCTTTGAAATTAGAAGTGGATGTGATAAGAGTTCCCTTTCTCACCACTGTTTCCAGAGAAGGCTTCCAATAATTAGATGAGTTTGGGGGCCACTAGGTTCCCACTTGAATGGGGACATGAATCTCTGCCCTTTGCCCTTAATTTTAGGACTGGGCTGGGGCAGGTGAGACAGGATAAGTAAACAAGGATTTGGAAGCTAGAAAAAAAACTTCTATAATACCTACAGAAATTAGAAAGCTATCTCCCCCTTAAAATGAATATTTACTGGGAGATTCAAGTCAGGAAATTTTACGTACTTTGTCATTTAATCATGATGAAGATTAAAGCCTCCAGCATTGACGCTTACCTTTTCATCACATGCATTGCTTATCACTTTCAGGAGGCCTAAATAAGCTCTGAAAAGTGGTTCACCTCACTGTGTTTCACTTCAGTAAGACAAGAAATACAGCCTAAACCTCCTGATCCAGCTTTATCTAAAGAAGGGAACATTCAAACGTTGAATATTATTTCTTCATTTTTTGAGCTTTAGCCATTAACTCAAGACAAGCAAAAGATTTAAAATGTGTAGGGGTCAGATTGTGACCATTTCCTCTGGTAAGACAAGCAGGAACCTGGGATCCAGAAAACCTAGCCTGGATCCCAGGTTAGATTGCTGCAGTGAAAGAAGCTGATTTAGGCAGACTGATTGGCAAAATTAAAAGCCAAGGCGCCAGGATCCAAATAAATCAACAGTCAGAAAGCAATAATTCAGGCATAATTTAATGGATGAAAAATCAGAAGAGAGTAAAGATTCAGAGCCAAGGCATTATAAAGTAGGAAGTTGTGCAAATGGTTGAAGAAGCTCATGGAGACTATTCAATTGCTCTCTTGTGTTGTTTTGTGTTGCATTACGGTCTCGTGTTCTGTGGATTTGCACCAAACTTGGAAATATTGCAGCCACTGGTTCTTCAAAAAGTAATTTTTCTACATCAAAAATAAATAAATAAAAGGGTTGGACACCATGAACACTGCATTTCACAAATCATGAAATGGAGTGAGCATTTCATTCTCACTCCATTTGGCATAGCCAGAGAATATGCCTTTAATTTAAATGGCATGGGACTGAGGAGTGAGATGCTACTTTATACAGTTATGTGAAAATTCCTTGAATTAGAGAGTTTAACTTTCACCCATGTCCATGCTAACTAGTCAATCTCATCCAACACATAGGTTAGTGTGAAAGTCAAAACAAGTCTCTACTTCTGCCAGAATGTTTTCTTTTCCCAAAAGGCTCATGTGTCTCTTTATCAAGCATAAAAAATTTCAACTGCAGAAAATAATTTCCACTAGCACTACATTATAAAATTACAACTAGCAATGAGCCAACTGTTGCAAAATGTCACAAGATGTGTGAGAAAATGACATGGTTGGAAATTCAATGCCACATCATCATCCTTAATCATGAACTAATTAATTTTTGTCATTGTAGCATAGAAGGCAAGCTTGTTTTATGTTATTCCTATTAACTTCAATATGGAGCTTAGTTGTGCTATGTCAAGGGAGAGGAGTGGAATAGATAAAATTCCAACTTAAATGGAGTAAAGTGCTAATAACAAGTGCTGATTCAGCATGCAAGGAACTGCTCTACATTTAATCCAAGAACAAAAAGACAGAACTAATCAAAATTTATTTCTAACCCATTAAAATGTAATTTGTAATGCTGGACAAAGCTTCATCACAATGGTTTCACTACTGGATTGACTTTTATTATGAAACTATCCACTCAAACTGATGCGAATTCTCCTATTGCTATAACGAAAGGGTAAATGAAAGCACCCAAGTATTCTTCACAGTTAACACCGAGACATCAGAAAATGTTCTTTGTTGAAGGTTCAAAATAAAATACAGCATTAGAAGAATTTAAAAACATTTTATCTTTGAAACATCAGTCTTCAGAACAAAAAATCCATTGAATTCCTGAAAAATACTTTACCAGGAATATAACATACCAGAATTTGAAATACATAATAAAATGCATATATATATATATATATACATATATATATGTATATATATATATGCAGTATATAATAAAAAGCATAATCCAACACTCACAACCATAAGACATATGCCACATAAAAACAATAGGTATTTTTTGGAAATTATGTAATAAAAGGTTTTTTAATGATTAGAAACAAATTTCCATATTCAAAGAAACTTAGACTGTACAAGTAACTGGAGAATTTCTAACTTAGAAGCTTCATACTTGGGGGACTTAAATGATCATCTATTTTCATGAAGCAAAAGGATTAGCCATTAACTCCAGTGATATCTTATGTCTATTTGATAGCATAAAATAAGCAGACTGGAAAAACTTTGGAAGAAGCAATAAATAAAATGAACAGAAAAATAAATGTGCTATAAACACACATTTTTCAAACATGCATGTTAAAATGCAGATTCTGATTTAGTAAATGATAACCTACAGGTCACATTTGGCAGGCCTCCAAATCAACAACCTGGAGAAGGCCTTATGATTCATGGCTTATGTCTTGTTTCTGAGTAAAGAATCTTATTGTAAGTCCCTTAAATCTTATCGTGAGTTTCTCAATAGTTGACATACTGATTAATACATAATCTACTGACATTAAAATGGACACCAATTTGTTTCTGAATCATGAAGTTTTACTGATTGACTTGCAGGTAACACATTTTAGCCTGTATGTTTTCATTTGTACCATTGATTGTAACCACTGTTTTGTACCTTCCAATGAAAAAAAAAAAAAAAAAAAAAAAAAACTGCGATGTGAGGAGTACCCCTCCCTCTCCTACACTTGCCTATAAAAACATTCCAACTTGTAATAGACTTCGGAACATGCCCGAATTTGTTGCTGTGTCTTCCTGGGTTTATAGTCAAATTTGGCTTTCAATAAACCTTTATCAAATTATCTCTGCCCCAACAGCCTTAATTTCAGTTGGCATACATCTGAGACTGAGATTCTGCCTGTCTAGCACCCTCCCAGGTGATATGATGATGCTTGTCTAGGGAACACTCCTTGAATAGCAGTTACAAGGAAATAAAAAGGTAAATCAGGGCCATTGAAAGAAGACCTTAGTATTTTTGTTGTTGTTGCTGTTGTTTGGACATCTCTAAAGTTCCTCCTAGTCTGAATTTTCCTGCATCAATGGTTTTTAAACTTGGCTACATATGAGACTCACCCAGGAAGCTTTCAGAAATCCTGCTGCCCAGGTTACATTTCAAACCAATTACACAGTAATTGTGAGGGGTAGTATGTGGACATCAGTAGTTGTTGAAGCTCCCAAGTGATTACAATGTACAGCCAAGATTGAGAACCACTAGACTGACTTTTCACAGCTTAACAAGCAAAATTTACACTAAGTTAAGAAATTTTAGCTCAGTGACGAAGTCCTTGAAACCGATGCCATGATCACTAAAAACATGAGCCCAGGAAAATCAAGTGAAACCCTCACCTCTGTTTTGATCATTTTCCACTGGGATTCCTTAAGTAACTTTGCAATAACTTTTTATAATGAGGTACATAGATGCCCTCTCACCTTTCTACTCAGGTGGATGCACATTGTGCTGGCCTTAAGTCACTATAGTCTCTGAGAAAGAAAAACACAGCATTCTGAAGATAAGCTGCCATTAACTGACACACACACATAGTAATTGATTAACAATATACAATGAATCCCTTCTTTAGTTTTGTATTGAATATAGAAAGAGCTTCAATCTTTCCATCATTACACAAAAGCAACACTTCATGTAACATCCATATTGGCAAAGAAAAAGAAAATTCTAATAGCAGCCCCAGCAGAAGAAAGCAAGATTAAGTTATAATTGTGATACTGGCTGTCAATATCTTGATTTGCAAACAATGTAGGACTATAGAAATAAATTTTAATTAGGCAGCAATTTTTCACACTGCTGAACGTTATCATAATAAAATCCCATTATGAATCTGAAACATTTTATACACTAATGCATGCTTCTTTACTAATGTTTGATAATTAAAAATGCAAGGAGACTGTTGTCCAGTGATGTCTACAATACACATTTTTAAATGTTTACATAGCAATAGCAAGTCAAATTTTTTTTCCTTTGAAACTCATACCAATACTGATTTTACTAAAATAAATTCTTCTATCTCCTAAGTATTTAGTGTCTCATTTCTGTCAAATTAAAATTTCACTTATTTCTTCATTAAATATCCCTTTATTAAATTTATTGATTAAACATACACTGTATCAGGTATCATGCTACACTTTGGGAATAAAGTGGTGAGCAAAACCAGACACTATCTTGTTAGTGTTTACAATATAGAAGAGCAGACAGACATTTCTAAAAATTTTAAATATCAAACATCAAATCACTAAATTGCAGCTATGACAAATGCTTAAAGGAAAAAGAAAAACAAGGAACATCTGTTATATAAGACTCTATAATAGTGAGTTGGACCTATTCAAGGAGGTTAGGGAAAGTTTCCTGAAGAAGCAACGATTGAGCTGCAGTCTAAAGAATGGTCAGTTTTAGTTTGACCGAAGAAAAAAAAAAAAAGGACATTCCAACTGAGGATGTAGTAGGTACAATGGTAGGTGACCGAAGAGAGCATGGAAGGTAGGAGGAAAGGAATGGGGTTACTGGAGCGGGGGGAAGGGAGATGATGTTCAACTGAGCTATCTTTCGAAAAGATATCACATCTTTCCATTGAATTTAAATTTGGAAAATATTTATCAAGAAGCGATATAGATACAAGGTAGATGAGAGAGGTACAATTAACAAAGCATAATCAAAACAGTGAAATGCAGTGGGACATATAGAACTATATAGTAAATGTACCCTCCTCCAATTCCTTTTCAGACTTCTACCTAAATAAATGCATAAGAAGATTATAAGAGGTAAAGCTGAGAATGATACCAGGGATTAGACTGGTACAATAGTTTTTAATATAGTAACCCTATTTCCTATATGTTCATGTGTTTGCGATATTTTAAATTCTATGACACTCCTTCTATAAATACATATGATGGCAACAATATTAATAAGCCTTATAAATCAAATAGTAATACAGGTTTGTATATGCCTAAATATATGTGAAAATCAATGGAGACCAGAGCAGACAATTTTAACATAAGAGGGGTTCAGTTGTAGAATCAACAAAGCACAGCCAATGGGCCAAATCCAGCTCTTGGCCTCATTTTGTAAATGGAGTTTTATTGGAACATAACCACACTTATTAATGTGCCTATTGTCTATGGGTGCTTTCATGCTACAATGGCAGAATTGGATAGTTGCAATAAAAAAATGCAGCCCACAAAACCCTTTATAGAAAAAGTTAGTTGAAACTTCTCTTTTGGAGATGGTTTTCAAGAAAGTACACCAGACTTTCCAGGAGAGTGACCAACTGTTCCTTTTTGTTTCTTCTGTATTTACTGCTGAAAGTCTCATGTCCTGGGAAATCAGGATGGTTCGTGGCTCTACCTCAAGCCCTAATAGTATTTTGGCTAGGCAACATCTTGCCCTGAGATTCTTGTGAGTGGAGACTGTATCTTATGCATCTTTTGAGTTGCATACCCCCAACCACCACCACTTCTAACACAGGTACTAATAATTAGAAGACTCCAGCAATACGGTCATATTAAATTAAAGAATAATATATAATTTGCAGATTATGCCTAAAATCTAAGTCTCTCCCCATTGAACAGTCCTCTTCAGATTGTGAGGATTATACCCATAAATATAAAAGCATTTCATTTAATAGCATTAATTCTACTTCTAAACAACCTGCCTGAGAGAATACTCACTTACAGATGCAATAATAGCTTTGTTAGATTGTAGCAGCATCGCAGGGAGGCACCCCAGGCTAAGCACATGAAGTCAGAACTTTTAGTGCAAAGCCAGGATGATGGATGGAAAAAGTTAGGTGGGTGTAAGAGATAATAGGTTCTTAGTCAACAGTATGTGTATGACTTGTAGTATCGGGTTGAAGGGGTGTTGCTTGGAGCAATTTCTGAGCACAAGGATCAGCGAAGGTTTATGATTTAATTTCCATGAATTAAGTTTGGGGAAACCAAGCAAGGGTGCTTAGGAAAACAACCTCAGAATAAACAGTTAAATATAATTTTGAGTATATCAAAGTATTTTTGTCAGTGTAAATTTAGTTTTTGTTGTATAGTGGTAGCAGCTGGAAACCTATCTCTGTCTGTTTAAACTGTGGACAAAGTTACCAAATGTTGTTTTCATCAATGTATGTGCTTTTAAATAACTAACTTATACACGAATACAGTGATTCTTATCAAAGACTGTTGGGGGCACTGTACCCTAGAATAGTAGGTATCTGGCTAGAATAACTTATCTAGTGCGCAGGTTCTCACATAAAGCAAGAAGCAATGCATCACAAAAGATAGAGTGTTGATTCTTAAATCTGATAATTTCCCAACAGATCTGTGAGCTTCTCCTGGTGGGCAACCTGCAACTTTAAGGTGGTTACAGTGTGGATTACTCACTAGATGCTCAGGGTATGGAGGAAAAGTCATCCTAAAGGTCAATAACTCTTTTACTTTTTTTGTGGTTGGTGGAGTGGGGTTGGGGCGGACCTTTATAGGTATTTTGATTATTTCACTGTAAAGGAAAATTGTATTCAGGATATGCAAGAGAACCAAGAGCCAGGCTAATCTGCATAATAATGATATTCTGAGTTCATTGTGATCACTCTTGTGTCATTGTAGGTATTATTATGGGGTTGAATGGGGAACGGAGTGTATGTAAGAAAACATCTCCTCCTTTCTTTGGGAAAGGCAGAGAGTGAGGAGTCTGGATTGGGGTAAAGGGAAGATATTTGGGGGCTTCTGAACAACTGAATGGTGCCCCCAGCTCTGAGCTAAGGAGAAAATGAAAGGACATCCCAGCAGGGAAGCATGGTCTGTGACTAAGGAGATATTTATGTGGGCAAAAGCATATTTTAATTAATAATGTTTTTTTCTGAATATATCAAATTTTCAACATTCCCTTTATTTGAGAAGTAACAAGAGTATCCCACTTCCAGAAGCATGGCCCATGGCTAAAGCAGAATAGGACACTGTTGCAATTTATTTGTTTTCTGTCCAGATCTATAATCCTTCACCTTATGCACAAGCTCTCAATGCATTGCTTTTACTTTTGATTGAACTGTAATCTGTGCACATAAGTATGTGTGGCTTCTTGAATTATCACACACTAAACATGCCTATGTAGCCAAAACCCAGGCGAGCAAACAACATTACTTTCCAGTCACTGTCTTTCCCTACTTGGTTTCTTAAATTTTTGTTAAATATTACTACTTGGTCTTTGGCAAATTTTAAGATCTTAGGTAAGCGGTTCATGCCATGCATTAAGATGAAGTCCAGAGACAACTGCAGGGTTCTGGAGGAACTGGCGAAAGGACATTCCCACAGGCATAGTAGGATGCTTGGAGCCATACTGTAGAGCAAAAGTCAGCAAACTTTTTCTATAAAGGGCCAGATTGTAAATATTTTCAGCTTTGAGTATCATAAGGTCCTTGTCACAATTCTAAATGAATATCAGTAGCTCTGTTCCAATTTTTTAAAAAGGCATTTTGCTGTGCTTTATCAACTCCCCTGGTATAGAGCACGCAATATCTATGGAATGTTGGGTACTGTGTAAAGAGCATCAGAATACTTCAGGAGGGAACTCATGTGAAATCCTGGATGTCACTCTAATTAAAAGCAGTTAACTCAGTTCTTAGTCATCTGGATTCCTCAAGGCAGAAAAACTTGAGACTTTTCGTTTATACTTGTTTATTTCTATCCTTGGTCCCGTTTTTTATTTCAAAATAATTTAGTAGTCAGCAGCAAGTTTTGGAAATGTCTAGAAGCAAAAAAAAAAAAAATACTATTTTTGTTACATTTAGAAACATTGCTTAAGGAAAGCACTATGGATTTCACTATTTTCTAATGCTTATATTCCTAAAAAGCAACTTCCTGCTCAAAAAAATATAACATAAACAATGTAATTTGTATAAATCTTGAGGGCTTTGATATTTGACAATTTAACAATCAGTTAAAATTCCATTATATTATGAATTGAAAAGAGAAACAAAGCCACACATAACAGCACATATTTTCAATTGTCATATTTCCATAATGACAAGTTAAACCACTTGTCATTTCACTCTGCTTGGATTCAATTCTGTTTCCAGATTACTCAACATGTTTTGGGACATGAAACAGTTTAATTCACTTTGACCTTGATGTGTTAGAGCCTTTGTGGCCTTGGCACAGGTTATTCTAATCTCTACCACAGAAATACCAATCATGAGAGAGAACAAGTGAAACTTCTACAAAGTCCTTGCTTAGCCAAAGAATGCTAAATCTGATGATTTTGTTTTCTATTATTATTCCAGAAAGCTATAAAAACATATTAGAACAATATGAAAATTAACGCGATTTGACAAAAACCAAACCACCATTGGACATTACCTGATATCACTTATTATACATTAATGTATCAATTTCTGTTATTTTCTTGTACAACTGGAAAACTGCCCATGTTATTTTCTTTGTCCAGAGAGTAGATTAAGCATTAGGATTTTCTTTTCTTTCTTTTTTTTTTTTGCCACAGCACTAAAACTCATAAGATCATGCCACCCACCTATATGACACCTTTGACTTCTCTTTTTCTCTTATTCTATATCCAAAATATCCTATCTTATATATTCTTCTTTCTAACCTACTGCTTACACTCTAGTCCAAAGCACCATCATGTCTCAAGTGGATTATTGCAGCGGCCTCCTACCACCCACCTTGCTTCCACGAGTATTCCCACTACAGTCTGTGTACAACACAGCAGCTAGATGGAAGCTGAAATACAGACTAGATGTGGTTATTAATCAGTTCAAGCTCTTCCACAGTCTTCATTCCCTCTTTGACTTTACCTGCCATCACCTACATCTTTCTAACCACACCGGCCACCTTTATGCTCCTTAAGTGTTGCAAGCTTACTCCTGTCTCCTTGCATCTGCTGTTTCTTCTGCCCCAGCCATTCCTCCTTCATTTGCCCCTAGGACTCTCTGTTTACATACACGCCCCTTCTCCACCAATCCTATCACTCTTTCTTTTGTGGTTCAAAACATTCATATTTATTTCTTATATATTTTCATTGTCTTTTCCACCCATTAGAATAAGCTCAATAGAGGTAAGGATGGCGGAGATGGAAGGAAGGAAAGAGAATGCAGGGCTGGAGAAGTTGCCCTGAATTGATTTGATATATACATATAAAATCACAAAGCAGGCTGAGCGCAGTGGTTCATGTCTGTAATCCCAGCACTTTGGGAGGCCGAGGTGGGCGGATCACCTGAGGTGGGGAGTTCAATAACAGCCTGACCAACATGGAGAAACCTGTTTCTACTAAAAATACAAAATTAGACGGGCGTGGTGGCGCATGCCTGTAATCCCAGCACTCAGGAGGCTGAGGCAGGAGAATCGCTTGAACCTGGGAGGCAGAGGTTGCAGTGAGCCAAGATCACACCATTGCACTCCAACCTGGGCAACAAGAGTGAAGCTCTGTCTCAAAAAAAATAAAAATAAATAAAATAAAATCACACAGAATTTTTATTTTATTTGCAATATTATCTTACATGAAAATATTCTGATATGTTCCAAGTATAATCCAAATACCATGGATAAAAATAATAAGGTGATAGTAAAATAAATAATCTGTAACGTTTTTCTGTGGCCATTTTTGTATTAGCTATTATCAGTCAGTATTGAACTTCAGTAACAAGCACATTTTTCTGGTTACTATGAGAGTTGTGTCACACAAACATGTTATCTCATAAGTGCTTTATGATCATCATCAGAAAAAAAGGAAAAACAATACATATTACTTGTGCATGCTATCAAAAATATTTTCATTTATTGCATTTAGTTGTTTATAGACTACCACTAGCATTTGAGATTTATGACAGGCCAAATTAAGGAAATTCATGACATCATTTTGGTAAATATGAAAGGTACAATAAACAATTACAAATTTATTTTCTCTGTCTATGTTGTGATAATTTTTATTATCAGCTAATCTTCAATGGAATTAAAATTTCTTTTTTTTATTAGCCTAAAAGAGACCTGGGATTATGGTCTGCCCACAAAGTGTTGAAATCTCTCTTGTAAATATATGCCTCTTCACATTTGACAAGTCGTTGTTGATAGGTTGCAAATCTGCAATCTATTACTCTATAAAGGGAGTCTCCTCCACACCTTAAAAGAGCATGTATTCAAATGGGGAAAAACAGATTCTAAGTAGAATGTGTTGCAAATGATCCATTTCTTCCTTCTCTGGGGAGGAAAATTTAACGATAGAAAATACCCATCCTATGCCCCCTGCAGACACACAAACACACAAGCCTTCCCCCCCAAGTATATTTCTGCCACTATCTTTAAGGCTATTGGTATTTTTAGACCATGAGAAGACTCTAAAATTTCTCTTGCCCATTGCTAAATTGAGATCAATTGTTACGTTATATAGAGCACTTGGAGTAACATCATTCTATAACTGCTATTATTCTAGGAAAACAATAATTGTAGTTGTCTTAATCAGTTCAGATTTCTGGAACAAAAATACCATAGACTGGATGGCTTAAATAATATAAATTTATTTCTAACAGTTTCAGAGACTAGAAAGTCCATGCTTAATGTAGTGACCCATCCAATTCCTGGTGAGGATTTTCTTCCTGTTATTACCTCACATGGCATGAAATGTCACAGAGAGAGTGTGTGGAATGGGGGAAAGCAAGTTCTCTTGTGTCTCTCCTTACAGATACACTAATCCCATCATAAGAGCTGCATCCTCATGACCCACTTACCTCTTAAGGGCCCCATCTCCAAATGACATCACATTAGGAATTAGAATTTCAATATATAAATTTTGGGTGGTGGGGACACAAACATGAAGTCCCTAAGAGTAGTTTGCTGAAGATTTCTGGTAATAGAATAAAGCAATGCATATTTACTCTTTTTTTTTCCAAAAAATTTAGTCCTCAAACTCATGCTATTACCTTTTAAAATCAAGTAAAATACAAGATTATATGTAGTATTTATGATTTGACTTAAATTAGGATATGCTGAGTTGTATATACAATGAAAAATAATAGTTGCCTTCACATCTACTAGAATGACTATAATAAAAAAGACAGGTAATAGAACATGTTGGTGAGAACTGGAAAAATTGGACCCCTCATACTCTGCTGGTAGAAACGTAAAATGGTATGACCACTTTGAAAAACAGTCTGGCAGCTCCTTAGACAATTAAGCAGAGAGCTACCATATAATCTAGTAACGCTACTGCTAAGTATATGCCCAAATGAAAACATAGGTTCATGTAAAATTTTGTACACAAGTGTTTATAGCGGCATTTTTCATAATAGCCAAAAACTAGTAAAGAAAAAAACAAATGTCTGTCAACTGATAAATGAATGGATAAAATGTGTTATATTCATACAATGAAATATTATTCAGCCATAAAAAGAAATGAAGTACTGACACATGCCACAATATGTATGAATCTTGAAAACGTGACAAGTGAAAAAAAAAGCTAGTCACAAAAGAAGACCATATATTATGTAATTCCATTTATATAAAATGGTCAGAATAGGCAAAGCTTTAGGACACAAAGAAGAGTGGTTGTCCAGTGCTTGGCGTACTGAGGAGGTAGCGGTGGGGGGGTGGCTAAAGGGTAAAGGTTTTTTTCTGAAGTAACAAAATATTCTTAAATTGATTGCGGAGATGGTTGTACAACTCAGTGCATTAAACTATACACATTAGATTGTACGTTACAGATAGATAGACAGACAGATAGATAGATATGTATGTGTATGTGTGTGTGTATAATGCTGTTAAAAATATTGCTTACCAAGGACTGTTCTAGCCCCTGAAGAAAAACGCAGTCCTTGTTCCTACAGAGTATATGTCAGGGGAGGACGAATACCAATAATACCTACATACATAACATATTTTTAGATAGTGAAAATACTAAAGAACACATGTTCAGGTTAGTGTTCTAGGAGGTGGCAGAGGGCAGACTGGTGTGTGTTTTCAATAGAATAGAGGAAGCCTCTGTAAAGGTGACATCTGAGTTAAGACCTGAGTAAGGGAAAGGAGTAAAACACAGAATGATCTAGGAGGAAGGTGGTCCATTCAGGTATAAAGGCCCTGAGTAGAAAATAAGCTTCCAAGTTTAAACAACCACAGGAAACTACTGTGAGTGAAGGAGAGGAATAAGTCATTAATGTCACAACAGGGGAAGGTAGGGAAGTCATACCTTGTTAATCTCAAATACTTTTATTAGCTATATCCAAGAGTAAAAAGTCACAATAAATCCTTAGTAGCATCATTTCATGGTGTGGCAGTTTAACTGAATATTATATATTATTTGCTTCTTTAAGTCAATGTGAAAATTGTCAAAGAGCTTTGATTTTAAATGCCATTAGGGAATTGGTTTTTATAAATACATCACTCTCTAGTTGGAATAAAAATTACATTTCCATGAATAACTTTGAATTAGTAGTTTAAAAATTAAATCAACATGATTTGGCAATGTAAGAACATTTTCTATATTCAGGATTTACTCCACTGAGATGAGTGTACCAGGTAAAGCACTGGAAGGAAACAGAAGGCATGAGGAAATTGGATAATTTAAAGAGCATTTAATAAAGAACTGTTTAGAAAAGTGTGTGCATGTTTAAGGGAGAGTTCAAGAGACTGCAGGTTACTAGGCCAATAACATCAAGGAGCTGAGCACCACCAATGTCTTCAGGCCTGATGAGTTGGAAATAGAGACTTGTTACCAGGCCCTGAAGACAGGGAGAGAGCTAAAGAGAGAGAAGGAGCTAGCCACCTGACAGAGCTGTGATCTTCAGTTAGGAATTCCGGCAGTCAATGTCAGAGCTACTGGAGCGAGTTAGTGTAATAAGTTTCCTGACCCCACTCTCCTCCCCACCACCGATCTCCTGCTAGAGTTCCCCACAGACCAAATTCAACTTGAAGCTGGCATGTTAACAAGCCTGCTCATGTACTCCATAGAGTTCAGCCTCCTGGAGCATAGAACAGAGGGGAGAAATGCAGATACTCTATTTAGAAGGACAAATAGAGGAGTAGTATCACATGCAGCCTTAGAATTTTCCTTATCTGTATATGATATTGAAAAAATAAATACCTGAGTATCAAATCATCATGCATTTATTTGACCAAGCTTGCAAAATGGCAGCCACACTATAAATCACTGAAAACTCAATGCATAGCCCTCAGTTTCAAGTTGTTTACTTACATTAATGGGAAGATTATCAGGTTAATAGATTTATATACAATGTGGTCAGTAGTGAAAGGGCTATGATCAATAGAAATGTTGATTTTTCGGTCTATTTTATCTGTGATATATTTATACAGATAAGCCTATACACACACATACACATAATCTATATTATCTGTAGTTACATATGTAATGCTATGGACTTAATGTCTGTTCCCCTAACCCCAAAATTAGTATGTTGGAATCCTAACTCCCAAGGTTATGGTATTAGGAAGTGGGGACTTTTAGGATATGACCAGGTGATAAGGGCAGCTCTCATGAATAGGATAAGTACTCTTATAAAAATAGTGAAATATCACAGATTGAGTAGCTTATAAACAACATAAATTTATTTCTTATAGTTCTACAGGCTGAGAAACTTAAGATCAAGCTACCAGCAGATTCAAGGTCTGATGAAGGCCTCTTGTCTGGTTCATAGATGATACCTTCTTGCTTCATCATTTTGGTGAAGGGAGCAAGGCCGTACTCTGAGGCCTCTTTTGGTAGCCAGGTTTAGACCAATTTCTTCAATTTCTCATGTTTGTGGTGTAATTTAAATATTATATTTCACACTTAAAAACTGATATCTGAATGCAAGCGAAAATGGTATAATTGCAATGATAATCTGGTAAGTTATTGTAATTCAAGGTGGTTTTGCAATTATTAGTAATGTATCTGTCATTAATGGTTTATGTCTTGCAAAACACAGTTGTGACACAGTGAGCCTCAATTCCATTATTCAGAAATGCTAACCTATACTATACCCATACCTACACTACCACAAGTTCATAAACTAGCAGAGTAGAAATGAACAGATGGTCAACTTTCCAGACATGCAAATAACAAGAGTCACCTTTTGTTTCTTTGGTTTCCAAATCTTCATCTGCCAATGTTACAGTTAAGACCTGTATTAATATTACTGTCAAATGTATTCAGGAGCATACAGCTTCCTGTGAAGTGTTGGATCCAGAAACAGGAAAATCCAGGCAAGACAATAAAATAATGGTTGGCCAGCAATTTTGGAAAACCTTCATGGTAGAAAACCAATCTATAGAATATGTGCACAAAGAGTATTTGACAGAAGAAGAGAGTAACCCTCTTATCTACCCTTTATCAAGAGCCTCACTTTCATGTACCATAATGTAAATGGAATTATTAACATTTATGTCATTACATTTCCTTGTGGATTAGAGCATGCTTGCTTTAATAAACCATAATTCAATGATTTGTGGGACCAACATCTCTCATTTGGCTTTGTCTAGTTATAGATCATGCAGAAATGACACGTACAAGACATACTAGGTTATTCCCCTTCTCTCTAAATTTGTATTATTAGTTCCAAGGGCTCTAATATTGTTTATTCTATACATAAGAAGATATGGCAAAATTGAAACACCATGCCCAAAGTAGTGGTACAATAAACTTCAAAGAATCTATGGCACAATGTGTTTGTGAGTGTGTGTGTGTATGTGTGGTGTGTGTGTGTGAGAGACACACACACACACACAGAAAGAGAGAGAGAGAGAGACTATATAACCAAAAACTCTTATCACGTTGTCCCCATCTAAATTTTTGTTTGTGTTACTAACACCATTTGAAACAGTTGAATACAGTGAAATGGGAGAGTAGCTATGAAGTGAAAGCTGACTGACCATCTTCACCATCTTCCAGAAACATGGAAATCTCTGCCTGCTAAAATTTTCAAATATTAACATCTTTCATGAGTCAAGTGTTTGGTTCTCCCTGAGACTTACAGAATTGTTGTCCCAAGTGGAATTTGCCGGCTTAAAATAGAATATTGTGTCAAATCGCTAGCTTCCGAGTAAGCAATTCCGCTTTATTTTGTTATAAATGGTTAAGTAGCAGTTAAACATTTGTAAGTTCAGATGATGCTCAGAAGAAGTGATCCACGTTAACCAGAAGTTCAGGACTCAGATAAACCTCAACTTGTATTATCTTTCCAGGAAATCAACATAAGCTAATCAAACCAAACTCTGAACTGTAGTAAATATTCAATGAATAATTAGGCTTTAATTCTTTCTCAGTTTTGTGATGAATTAATGGCATTTGATTTCTAAAGTTTGCAATTTCAGACAGTATTTTCCATGAGAATTAAAATTAAATTGAGTCATTGATGTTAACTGTTTTATTTCCACTTCAAAAAAGCATTTGACTTAGAAAGAAAGATCTAATGAAGGCATTTTTTAAACTACAAATTAAATAATTTTTAACGCTAACAATTATGGAGCTCCTTTTTCATGAAATCAAAGCTAAATCAATTCAATACGTGGCCAAAATTGTTGGCACATAAATAGTGGCAGCAAAATGTCTGTGACTTCTTGGGGCACATAGCAGTACATATGGGCTAGAAAGACTTGCACCAAGTTTTAAGGCCATTCTGTAGATTCACATTTCCATTGTTTAAAGCTACTTTGTGAACACCACTTTCACACTGTCAGTCAAAATATTATTACATCATAATTTTTTTCACTATTGAGTAGTATGGATCCAAATTAAAATCAACGTATTACCATATTTCATAAATTAAAAAATATGTTTATGTTTTCAGTTTAATGATTCATTATCTTCTATCTATAGTCTTCAATAACAAAACTAAATATTCAACAGTGTGTTGAGCTCCATAAAGTCATCTGTTTTACTTCTCATTACTATTTGATTTGTAAAGCTATTTAAAACCTAGAACTTTCTGTTCTCTAATGGGACATAATAAGGTTTTTATATTTAAAAGTTATATTCTCCTCTTCAAAATTTGATTATTAATTTATATAAGAAAAATTATTCCTCACCTATACTTAGTTTTAAATTTTTTTCTTGCTTGCAAAAAAACTTTAAAAATCTTTAAATAGAAATAATGACAGTTTGACCAAACTTTATTGGGCTCCCAAACAAAAATATGGTCCTCCTAATATAATAAATAAGAGCTGAAAGACAAATGGCTATAATGGTATTGACCTGTTCACCTAGCAGAACTATTTAAGCATAGTTGCCATGGAAAACCATGCTGAGAATGAAATAGCAGGAGAAATCCAATTTAAGGCCATGCCAGTAAGTATCTCCAAGACTGGTTTTAGTGTCTTTTCATTGGAATTGTTTTCCAGGGTCACCAGCTGTATCCCCACATTTGTCCTAGAAAATTAATAACACTTCAGACCATCCTGCACACAAATATACATTTTCTCTCTCTTCATCATTTAAACAACTGCAGAACAAATAACCCTCTCTGACATGAACAAAGATCATTTTGGCTGCCTACTGAACTTTTCGTGCGCTATTAATGGCAAATTGCCATTTTGTAAGTCTTCATTTCTCTTGACTTCTCAAAAGGTTCCATAATGCTAAACACACTTCCTTAAAACATTCCCTTTCTTTGACTTAGGTAATGCTATGTTCTCCTTTATTATTTTTACAGACTTTTCCACTGAGCTCTCACAGTAGCTCACAACTCAGACTTAGCCATGCTCTTTACTATTCCAAACTTTTTTTCTTCGTGGAAACTCATCCCCACTGAAGGCTTTGATTACCACTCATATACTCATGATTGCTAAAATTTTATCTGCAGACTAGACAATTCTTTTTTGTTTTGTTTTGTTTTAAGTATAATTTTTTTTTGCATTTCTTTTTATTATTATTATTATTATACTTTAAGTTTTAGGGTACATGTGCACAATGGGCAGGTTAGTTACATATGTATACATGTGCCATGCTGGTATGCTGCACCCACCAACTCGTCATCTAGCATTAGGTATATCTCCCAGTGCTATCCCTCCCCCCTCCCCCCACCCAACAACAGTCCCCAGTGTGATGTTCCCCTTCCTGTGTCCATGTGTTCTCGTTCAATTCCCACCTATGAGTGAGAATATGCGGTGTTTGGTTTTTTGTTCTTGCGATAGTTTACTGAGAATGATGATTTCCAATTTCTTTCATGTCCCTACAAAGGATATGAACTCATCATTTTTCATGGCTGCATAGTATTCCATGGTGTATATGTGCCACATTTTCTTAATCCAGTCTATCATTGTTGGACATTTGGGTTGGTTCCAAGTCTTTGCTATTGTGAATAATGCCGCAATAAACATACATGTGCATGTGTCTTTATAGCAGCATGATTTATAGTCCTTTGGGTATATACCCAGTAATGGGATGGCTGGGTCAAATGGTATTTCTAGTTCTAGATCCCTGAGGAATTGCCACACTGACTTCCACAATGGTTGAACTAGTTTACAGTCCCACCAACAGTGTAAAAGTGATCCTATTTCTCCACATCCTCTCCAGCACCTGTTGTTTCCTGACTTTTTAATGATTGTCATTCTAACTGGTGTGAGATGATATCTCATTGTGGTTTTGATTTGCATTTCTCTGATGGCCAGTGAGGGTGAGCATTTTTTCATGTGTTTTTTGGCTGCATAAATGTCTTCTTTTGAGAAGTGTCTGTTCATGTCCTTTGCCCACTTTTTGATGGGGTTGTTTGTTTTTTTCTTGTAAATTTGTTTGGGTTCATTGTAGATTCTGGATATTAGCCCTTTGTCAGATGAGTAGGTTGCGAAAATTTTCTCCAATTTTGTAGGTTGCCTGTTCACTCCAATGGTAGTTTCTTTTGCTGTGCAGAAGCTCTTTAGTTTAATGAGATCCCATTTGTCGATTTTGGCTTTTGTTGCCATTGCTTTTGGTGTTTTAGACATGAAGTCCTTGCCCATGCTTATGTGCTGAATGGTAATGCCTAGGTTTTCTAATGGGGTTTTTATGGTTTTAGGTCTAACATTTAAGTCTTTAATCCATCTTGAATTGATTTTTGTATAAGCTGTAAGGAAGCAATCCAGTTTCAGCTTTCTACATATGGCTAGCCAGTTTTGCCAGCATCATTTATTAAATAGGGAATCCTTTCCCCATTGCTTGTTTTTCTCAGGTTTGTCAAAGATCAGATAGTTGTAGATATGTGGTGTTATTTCTGAGGGCTCTGTTCTGTTCCATTGATCTATATCTCTGTTTTGGTACCAGTACCATGCTGTTTTGGTTACTGTAGCCTTGTAGTATAGTTTGAAGTCAGGTAGTGTGATGCCTCCAGCTTTGTTCTTTTGGCTTAGGATTGACTTGGCGATGCGGGCTCTTTTTTGGTTCCATATGAACTTTAAAGTAGTTTTTTCCAATTCTGTGAAGAAACTCATTGGTTGCTTGATGGGGATGGCATTGAATCTGTAAATTACCTTGGGCAGTATGGCCATTTTCACGATATTGATTCTTCCTACCCATGAGCATGGAATGTTCTTCCATTTGTTAGTATCTTCTTTTATTTCATTGAGCAGTGGTTTGTAGTTCTCCTTGAAGAGGTCCTTCACATCCCTTGTAAGTTGGATTCCTAGGTATTTTATTCTCTTTGAAGCAATTGTGAATGGGAGTTCACTCATGATTTGGCTCTCTGTTTGTCTGTTATTGGTGTATAGGAATGCTTGTGATTTTTGTACATTGATTTTGTATCCTGAGACTTTGCTGAAGTTGCTTATCAGCTTGAGGAGATTTTGGGCTGAGACAATGGGGTTTTCTAGATATACAATCATGTAGTCTGCAAACAGGGACAATTTGACTTCTTCTTTTCCTAATTGAATACCCTTTATTTCCTTCTCCTGCCTAATTGCCCTGGCCAGAACTTCCAACACTATGTTGAATAGGAGTGGTGAGAGAGGGCATCCCTGTCTTGTGCCAGTTTTCAAAGGGAATGCTTCCAGTTTTTGCCCATTCAGTATGATATTGGCTGTGGGTTTGTCATAGATAGCTCTTATGATTTTGAGATACGCCCCAGACAATTCTTTAGAACACCAAGACTACATGTTTCAATCCTAAGCATCTACTGGGATAATTTAATGACCTATATCAACAACTGCTCTTCTCTTTCCCAGTGATTTCTATCTGGGTGGTCTACAATCTTCTGTCTGGTTATACAAATCAGAAATCCTGGAGACTGTCTGGATTCTGTTTTCTCCTCAAGTCCAATTTCATATTGTGTTCAGGTGGCTTTTCCTCCAGAACTTATCCCATATCTGTTTTCTTACTGCCTTTTCCACTAACACCACCCTGATGATAACCAGTGCAACCCTTCTTCTATACTACTGTTAACAGCTTTTTAACTGGATTCCCTATTTCTACCCTTATCCCCTTCCAATAATTTTTCAATTTATAGAGACAGTTGTCTCTAAAAACACGAAAACCTAACTTTAGCAGACCGTACAACTTTCTTATTAAAATATTCCATTGGCTTCCTACTGAGTTTAGGGTAAGGACCAAAATCTTTGGCATAAATCCTTTAGGTCCTGCACAATCTTGCTCCTACCATGCCTCATCTTGTCATGGGCTGCTCAATTCTCTGCACTGTGGCCACGTTGGTTTCTTTAAATTCTTAAAGAATTGAATTCTGTTCTCCCCACCCTTTGGTCATGTTTTCCATTCCTGTGTCAGCTCATTAATAATCCTATCAGAGAAGTTTTTCTTATAAGAAAGAAGCACCTTCAAATCTTTGGCTGACATGAGAGTGAGAAATCAAAATGGCGACACTTACATTTAACATGTTGCCATTATGATTTTAGTTTTTCCAGCCTTGAAAATTAAGCCTAAGAAATGCCTGTTTTTGCAATAAATCTCACATGGCTGCATGTCTTCTGAGATACAAACAGTTTTCTTTGGCTCTAGTAGCTTGTTAATGAATATTTTACTAAAGATGGAAATATCAGTTTTTTATAAATACAACTACACACCGGATATGGATGACTTGTGTATTTTTTTCTACGCATGACTTGTCAAAATAAAATAAAGTGAAATAAAACGGAATAGAAGTAGTTCATGGTCTCATTGAAAAAAGAAAATAGGGAATGGTGGAATCCTTCTCAGTCAGAGCTAAGTGGCCTACAGAGTAGTGTATAAAACTACACTAGTCTGGGAGTCAGATCATTTTAGTCTCTATTACAAACTTGCTGAGACTTCTGTTCATCCCAACCTTTGTAAATCTTGATTCTCCATTTAAAATAAAAGACATAGATGGAATAAAATGATGTGTATATAAACACCTGTTAATTACTGAACAGACTTCAACAGTACTTTCTTTCCCTTTCCTAATCCAGCTAGAAACTGTCATTAAAACCATACCCCAGCCAAGTGTAAGTGGCTCACAAACACACAGCTGTCTGAAGCAATATCCTGGATGCTTCTTCTATAACACATTCATTCCTACCAAGTATAATTCTCTGCATTCCATCTAGGCTTTCCATCTCTTCTAACCTCATCTTCATTTTTAAAATTTTAGTTTACCTATATTTTAATTGACAAAATCATTGATTCATTTCTCATTTCATGACTGATTTTCTGACTTGCAGTAGTCTGTCCTCTGTTCTACCAACTTAAATCCTGTTCCAATTTTCTAAGGTTCCTGTTCTCATAGGATCTTTCACAGCCCTGCTGGACCTTCACAGAACCTAACTCTTCGTCTCTTCTGCTTTGGCTCTAGAATCCTAGGGTTGGAGACTGAAAAATCTTTCTACTGCCTGTCATTATTTCAAGTAGTTTTTCTAACAAGTTTTGCTCTTTTTCCCACCCATTTATCTTTTAATAAACAATCCACCTTTAGTGCCAATGCAGCCTAATAGGAAAGACTTATTTTCTACTTAACCTGAAATTTACCAGTTGTATTTGATTATTATAAGCTATTACCAGACTTCTACTTAACATTCATGTGTGACAAACTCATTGGCTTTTCCCCCACAATAATTCAATGACTTTTGCACTGAATTTTAAATATTATTTTTAAGTGTATTTTAAATTATATTTCAATAAGATTCACTAAAAATAATGGGGTAAAAGCCCCCCAGGGCTTTAATTTATCCAGTACTGTGCCAGACAAAACCAGAGTTGTATACTTTTATAATTATTTTCTGATGCTAAAAATGTTGGTTTAACAAAAGAGTGAATGGCCAAATTTTAGGGACTTGTGATAGATTTCAGCTCAGATTCTATGAGGCATGGATGAATTGATACTGTTTCATTTACATTATTCTCCAGCTACTGGAATGAAATCTGTCAAAAACTGGAGACCTGTTCTATGTACTTACTATTGTATCTCCAGAAACAAGAACAGTGCCTGAAAAATAGAGTAGTCAATAAATATTTGTCAAATGAATAAAACCCATCAAAAACAAAGGTGTGCTTTTAGAAGAAATCAAGAAAGTAATACCACCGTGTGGATAGTTTCATAAAGACAAGATACATTGACAAAATAATTTCATTAATTTACTGAAGAGAAAAATTGCAAACTGTTATGTAACACTAATTAAATAGTAAACACAGTGTCATACTGACAACCTGTCATACAGTGAGGGTACTGAGAAGCAAGAGAAGTGTATTATATTAGTTCTCCTAACTTTTAATACAATGTCACCTAAGTAAAGAAAAAGTTAGTGCTTGACTTTCTGTGCAACTAAAACTTGGCATGCATACATGTACACACACACAGAAATGTTCAAATAAGGTTCACACAAAGTCTGGCAATATTATTATTTAACACATTAGGAAAATTGATGCTCACGATAGTATATGTTTTCCCAAAGGTAGAAAATAGCTGAGATAATAGCCAGATCCAAAACTTCTGACCTTGACTTCAGTACATTTTTACTTTAAATTTGAATTTGGAAAAATCATATAATAAAAATTCAGAAATAAATCAAGAAACATAGGAAAATACTAATGTCCAATGGTCACTAGAGTCAAGCAGTTTTGTTAAACTCTTTATATATAAAAATTGAAATTCGCCTTAAGACTGTAGATAGGGTGAATAAATTATTTGTTTTCCTCTTCAAGAAGAAACTTGCCCAAACTCTAAGTTATGAAATAAAATACATGACTTCTATAAACTGAAGTTCATGTCAGTAGTTCTCAAATCTGTATGATCACCAAAATCATCTGAGGATTAAAAAAAAAAAAACACCTTTCTCTCAGACCCCCCCACCTATGGAGATTCCAATTAATTATATAAGGATTTAGGACTAGAATTGGTGATTTTGATGATCAGCTACATTTGAAAATCCCTGGTCTAGAACATTGCTTATTTCCTTTCACAAGACTGAGAGAGAAACAGGTTGATGGTATGACCCTTGCTTGTGGAAATACAAAGGATTATTGAAGGTGCCAAGAAGCACCTGTATTTCATGATGCAAAGTAGAGCTCTCTAAATTATCCTTACAATTTCTTTCTGCTCTTTTTTTTAGTGATCTCTC
This sequence comes from Homo sapiens, assembly GCF_000001405.40. Classification (NCBI taxonomy): domain Eukaryota; kingdom Metazoa; phylum Chordata; class Mammalia; order Primates; family Hominidae; genus Homo; species Homo sapiens. The sequence goes on along the minus strand of NC_000002.12, from coordinate 56,787,051 downwards.
TCTCCTTAATATTATACTCGGAGCAAACTCGTCTCCTTAACCAACCTCTGTATCCATTGCTCACTTTCCCAAAATGGTTCCTATGTATTTCTGAAAATTTTAGCATATAGACTGGCAAAAGTTCCATTTGAATCACTACAAAAGTGAACTTAGGGGTTAGAAAATACGCCTGCTATTTAGAGATAATATCATTGCCTAAGCTGTCCTTATCCATTTCCAATAACCCATAAAAAAACTGTTTATTTCTCTGTGTGTACCTCCTGTTTTTCTGCCATTTTTTCTGTAAACAGGTTTTTTTCTTTTTTTTCAGTTACTTTCCAACATCACATATTATTTCTCCTGAGTGGGATTCTTAGTTGAAAACAACAGAAACCACTCTAAATAGATTAAGTAGAAATTAAACATAGTAAGATACATTTAGTAATTCTCCAAATCTTAGAGATGGCGAGATAATTAGGCTTGGAGGACCTAGCCAGTTATGAGGTCAAATTTCACCATGGAATTTCTCTAAATTCATACCACAATGTGATGCCTCCACATATGTACTAGAATGGCTAACGTGAAAAAGACTGACAAGACCATATATGTTGTTACCACAGGTGACAATAACACAGTTGCAGAGCAACTGACAATCTCACACATTGCTAATGGAATAGTGGGTTTGGTGACTTGGAAGTGGGATGTTGAGGGCTTCTTGAAGGTTTTATTCATGTTTACTTTAATTGCCAACATTAGTTCTTACATAGGTATTTTCACAAAATAATGTATTGAGCTGTATACTTACTATTTGTGTACTTTTTCTTAATGCATTATATCCAAATTTACAAAATAGAATATTCTGGGTGGTCAAAGAACATGATAAATACCACTACACTATATTTCCAGCTTTAACTTAGATGGCTTAGGGTGCTGAGGTTGGGAGTAGAAAGGACCTTTATGGACTTAACTGCATGCACTCTACAAGTAGGAATAGAGAATAAAGCTCACTGCTAATGCAAGGTCAAGCAATTTGAGAATCAGTAGTATTGCTGTCATTGTCAAACGTAGATAAACATAATAAGGCCATTACTATATGCAATTTGGTTATAACATTTTCACTTCTGTATATGGTTATTATGACTCTCAATGAACAAGAGGAAGGAATTACCGAAAAGCTAACCAATAAGAAAAATGGAAAAATTGGGCAGTTTCAGTTCTGAGCCACATTCACAAACATGCATTAAACATATTGTAAAAATAGAATTTCAAGCACTCGTTCTGTAGAAAAGAGTATTACAGAGTTACTCTTCCTAAAGGTATCCTTATTTTCTTTCTAATAGTCATATTCTATTTAAGTGCTTAAAAGTAAAATAACTTCTGAACTTCAAACTTGAAATAATGTTTTTTATTCAAATCAAATTTGAAATAATATCTAACTTCAAACACATATGAAACATGCTATATTGTTACTCATATAGTAAGTCATAATAGGCCATATCGTTAATAAAAAAAAATCAGAAGCAGTGGAGGGATTATTCTCTGATTTAAGGTGTTTTCTCTTAAATCACATTGTAAATTTTAATTTTTTAAGCTCTCTCTGTTCAGTTGAATGAGAATTCCTCATTCCATATCATCTATATTTTTAGCTGCAGAAAGACTCCAAAAGGTTGCTGGGACACTTGTTTCAAATAAAAATCCTGTCTTTTTGCATATGTGCATCAAGACATATGTACATAAGAATGCTCATGATAGCATGGTTCATTATATATATATATATATATATATACACACACACACATACAAATATATATTTGCATGAGTAGGATAAAGGATAAACAACTTTGAAATTTCATCAGGATAACATATTTTACAGCAATGAGAAGAAATGAATTATTCAATAACACGAATAGAGGATAAAAGCTTAATATTGGGAAAGAACAACATGGTCCAGAAGACTGTACAAACCCTGACACTATTTATAAAGCACTAAGCAAACAAACTAAATGATATATGTTTACTCAAACACAAATATGTGATAGAATATTTCTATACAGGAAATAAATTTTGTTTATAGAATGTGGGATGATTAATTCTGAAGAGGATAAGGTGTTGACTTGGGGAACAGACACAAAGCAGATGAAGTAGATGGTACTGTTTTGCTTTCTGTGTTGTGTGTTTGACTTACTGTTCATGATACAACTGTTTCTAGAATTTACATATATATTATTTGGTTTGAATCTGATATTATATAAAAATAATTAAGAAAAATAGGAAATAACATTTCAGGCAGAAGAAAGAACATGTGAAACAATCCCTAAGGCAAAAAGTAATATGAATTGTTAAGTAAATTAAAAGAAGGCAACTGGACCACAGAGGAGAAGGCAACAAAGGAGGCTGCACAGGTTAGAAGATTTCAAGTCCATGATTTTATTTCATGTCCATAACCATGCTGGAAAGAATTCCAGATGGCTGTTATTTTTCATGTTTTGCAGGTGAAGAAACAGAAGAAAGACAGGGAAAAGGTGGATGGAAACTTTAGCAGAGCTGAGAAAATCGAAAATGCTTGCTGAGGAGGCATCCAGCCAGAAGCAAGCTGCATCTTGCTGCAGAATCTCTTGAGGATAAGCTTTTGAGCTTAAAACAAGAGCAGTAAATAAAGCCTACGCAAGGAGATCTTAAACCAGCCAGACCCTTTCCTCCACTTCTCTGGGCCAGGGGACTACACATGTATTCCATGGAGAAGTTGACCTAGAGGTGCTAGACTGGGAGAGCAGGAAGCGGGAGAGTGAGGGAGATGTGTTCTATTAAAAACAGAGGGAGTAAGCGAAAGTCTTGCCACTGAATACATAGGCTCCTTGCTCCCTCATGTGACTCTCAACCAAAAGGGTTGCCATCCAGGTATATAGCTCCCCAGGCAGGAGAACAGAAGAGATTATTCACTGAAGAAACAAAATGGTCCCAGAGAAAATATTTGTAAATACTGATATTTGGGACTGCCCTGATTCTCATCTGATGAGTCTACACAAACAATTCACCAGTTGACGTAACTCCCATTAAGTTTTTATGCTTCAGTCTAAAATACAAACAGATAACCTTTGAGAAGACATTGCAAAATTAAAGACAAAGACCAAACCAGAAATAGGGAAATTAGCATAAAATATATGCCATCCAGGAAAGACCAAAAAAAAAAATCTTTATTTAATAAAAATATGCATAATACTCTCAGAAACGAGAGGATATTTTGCACATGAGATAAAAACAGAATTTTATGTAAATAGAATATTCAAAGAATAAGAAAAAGTTATTGGAAATAATAGGACAGTATATATTTGGCCCTCTGCAACCCCAGGAAATTGGTTTCAGGACCCTCATGGATAACAAATCCTACAGATGCTCATGAAGCCCTTGATATAAAATGATGTAATACAGTCAGCCATTATATCCATAGGTCTCACACTTGTGTATTTAGGGAATTAAAAATTGAGAAATTAATGTATAAATAAAATTTAAAAGTCAAAGAGAAATATAATAGGAATAGTCTTCGCTAAGAAATGCACATCAGAAAGCTCAGTCCTTTACCTTCTCATATCTTTACTCAAATGGCAAGTGATTAGTGAGTCCTTCCTGCAATTTACCATCTTCCTGATAGCACATTCTATTGCTCAACCTCACTTTACTATTTCCACAGATCTTATGGTGTAATATGTATTAAATGTATGTATTGCCTGTATCTTCTCACTAGAATATAAACTCCATGAGATTTATTTTTTGTGGCTTTGTTCACTGCTGTATCCTCAGCAGCTAAAACATTGAATAGTAGTAGAGAGGATAAAAGACAAACAAGAGGATCTAAGAATATAAACCATTAAAGTTGGATTTGGAAGGGAGGGAATGAAAGCGAGAAAAAAGTGAATGCATATGTTATTATTCATATGTGGCTCATTAATATGATCAACAAATAGAAATTTTAATGTATTTCACAAAGGTATAAAGAAAAGCAAAATAATCACCAATCTTAAAATGACCAGCAAGAAAACAAAAAATGCAAATAGAAAATATAATGAAATTTTATTATAGTTGGCTATAAACTGATAGACAACTTTCAAGATGCATTTTAGTTAAAAGCATTCAGAATTTAACAGTGAATACAACATGCTAACCTGATTTTTAAAAATCCATTTACGCATGCTTATGAATGCAAAGAATATTTCGATAAACACATACAAGTAATTGATGATAGAAGTCCCCTCTGAAAAATAATCTACATAATCTTTTGACTTTGGTAGTATAAGCATGTGTTCCAGTATGTATATTATCTTCTTCAAAATATTTAGGTTAATGAGAACTTATTTTGCTTTACAAAACAGCCCCTTTCCTGCTGGGCATGTTGGCTCATGCCTGTAATCCCAGCACTTTGGGAGGCCGAGGCAAGTGGATCACTTAAAGTCAGGAGTTTGAGACCAGCCTGGACAACATGGTGAAACCCCAGTCTCTATTTTAAAAATACAAAAATTAGCCAGGTATGGTGGCGCACGCCTGTAATCCCAGCACTTTGGGAAGCCGAGGCAAGTGAATCACTTGAAGTCAGGAGTTTGAGACCAGCCTGGCCAACATGGTGAAACCCCAGTCTCCATTTTTAAAATACAAAAATTAGCCAGGTGTGGTGGCACACACCTTTAATCCCAGCTACTCCAAAGTCTGACGCAGGAAGGCAGGAGAATCACTTGAACCCGGGAGGTGGAGGTAGCAGTGAGCCGAGATCATGACATTGCACTCTAGCCTGGGCAACAGAGGTAAGTGAGACTCCATTTCAAAAAAAAAAAAGAAAAGAAAAGAAAAGAAAATCCCCTTTCCTTCTAGGCACTCTTTCTTATCTCCTCATTGATGTCTCTTCCAGGCAGCCTTTTGCCCCACACCTGTGTCTGGCGATTTATTCCATTGTGGGATCCAAGAACACCTTATATTAGCCGCTTCATAGCACTTACTACATTATTTTATGGTGTCAATAAAAAGGATAGATTCCCTCAGTAGACTATGAACTCCTTGATGATGAAAATGCATTCATTTTGGAATGTCTTAATATGCTTTACTTTTTATCTATATTACCTCACCGCATTTTACCATCCATCCAAACAACGGTCGCCTAATAAATGAGTTTGCCTGAATGTATAAGTACTTTAGAGGTTCTCTCCAATTCAGCTTCCCATTTGTCCTCCTAAATTTTCCCATTCTCTGTTATTGCAATTTTATTCAGGTATAATTTATATGAAGTAAAACTTATTCTTTATGGTGTACAACTCATGAGTTTTGTCAAATGCATACAATCTTATAACGAACCAGCAAAAACAGTATAAATATAATCCTCAACCCCTAGGACCCCTTAATGCACCATTATAGTCAACACCTTCCTTCACCCCTAATTCTGAGTACCCTCTGATTTGCTTTCTGTTCCTTTAGTTTTGCTGTTTATGGAAGGTCATAAAAATGGAATATACATATGAAGTCTTTTAGGTGTGGCCTCTTTTCATTTGGTAAACATGCATTTGAGACTCATTGATGTTCTTGAATACAGGAGAAATGTATTCCTTTTTATTCCTGAGTATTACTCAATTATATGTATGTACCACATTTAGTTTATTCATTTACCTTTTGAAGGACATATTTCTTGCTTCCATTTTAGGGCCATTATAAATAAAGCCATACATTAACGTAAAGATTTGTGTGTGAACATAAGTTTTCAGTTTACTTGGATAAATACCTAGGAGTGGGATTGTTGGGTTGAATGTTAAGTGTATGTTCAACTGTAAAAGAAAATGACAAATTGATGTTTCAAGTAGCCGAATCATTTTTATTTTCAATGGCAAAGTATGATAGTCCCAGCTGCTTTGCATCTCCTCAACAATTCATATTGTCAGTTTTTAAAGCCATTCTAATAGGTCCATCTGATTGTGATTTTAATTTACAGTAAGGACTATTACATTTACCTCAGGACTAAAGACGTTGAGCACTATTTCATGTGCATTTTTTTTTTTTTGGCCATCACTATACTTTTTTGTAAAGTCTCTGTTCAAATCTTTTTGATATTTTTAAAATTTTGAATTGATTTTTGAAAGTTCTTTATGTATTCCAGATACAAAGGCTTTTTCAGACGTGGGATATGTAAATAGTTTCTTCTGACATTAGGTTTGGTTTTTATTCTCTTTGCATTGTCCTTGTGCCTGAGCAACATTTTCAGCATTTCTTTTAGTGTACTTCTGATGGTGATTATTTCTTTCAGCTTCTGTATGTCTAAAAAAGTCTTTGTTTTACCTTTTTTAATGAAATTTTTTTACTGAAATAAAATTCTAGATTGTTTAATTTTTATTTCAGTAATTTAAAAATACTGGTCATTCGTATTACATTGTTTCTCATAAGATACCTCCTGTTATTCTTTCTTTTCCTGTTCTACAAACACTGTGGTTTTTTACTTTGGCTGCATCTGAAATTTTCTCATCACTGTATTCACCTTAGTATAGTTTTCTTCATGTTTCTTGTGGTTGGAACTTCTTGAGCTTCTTAAAATTCTGGGGTTAGAGTTGTCATCAAATTTGAAAAATTAACATCTATTATTAATTCAAATATTTTATCTACATATCCTTCCTTCATAAAATCCAATTACCTATCTGTTAGGTTACATAAAATTGCCCTACAGATTATTAATGCTTTTTCTTTAAAAAATACGTTTTCCTTTGGTGTTTAATTTTAGACTGTTCCTACTGGTACATCTTCAAGTTCCTAATTTTTTTTCTGGGGTGTCTAATGTCTCACTAATCTCATTTAGTATACGATTTACTTCACACATACTATTTCTAATCTCTGGAAGTCTGATTTGGGTTTTTTATTTTTCATATCTCTATTTTTAAAAGATTTTTAAAAGTTTTAATTATGATTGACACGATAATTGTATATATTTATGGAGTACAATGTGATGTTTTCATACACATGTAAGTTGTGTAATGATCAAATCATGATAATTAGAATATTTATCACCTTAAACATTTATCATTTCTTTGCGATAACATTTATAAATCTCTCCCAGCGAACTATACAATGACACTACTGTTAACTCTGGTCATCCTATTATGCAATAGAACACCAGAACGTATTCCACATATCTAACATAGTTTTGTACCCGTTGACCAATCTCTCACCATCCCTCACTTCTCCCTACTCTCCCCATCCTCTGAGAACCACTGTTCTCTTCTCTACTTTTATGAGAACAACTTTTTAGATTCCACATATGAGTGAGATCAATTATGCAGTATTTGTCTTTCTGTGACTGGTTTATTTCACTTAACATAATGTCCTCCAGGTTCATCCATGTTGCCACTAATGATAGTTTTTCTTTTTTAAGGCTGAGCAGTATTCCATTGTGTATATATACCACATTGTCTTCACCCATTCATTCATTGATGGTCATCTTGGCTATTGTGAATAGTGCCACTATAAATATAGGAGTGCAGGTATGTCTTCGATATGCTGACTTCATTTTGTAAATATATACTCAGTAGTGGCAGTCCTGGATCATGCAGTAATTATGTTTTTACTTTTTGAGGAACCTTCATACTGTTTTCCATAATAGCTGTTCTAGGTAACTTTCCCACCAGCAGTGTACAAGGATTCTTTTTTCTCCATGTCCTCACCAACATTTGTTATCTTTTGATTTTTGTATAGTAGCCACTCTGACTGTAGTGAGGTTATATTTCATTATAGTTTTGATTTGCATTTCCCTAATGATTAGTGTGAAGTTTGGTATTTTTATATATCTCTTGGTTACTTGTGTGTCTCTTTTGAAAGATGCCCATTCAAGTTGGTTGTCCATTCTTTAATTGGGTTATTTGGAGTTTGTAGTTGCTGAGTTGTTTGAGTTCATTATATATTTTAGATATTAAACTCTTACTGGATGTGTAGTTTGCAAATATATTCTCCCATTCAACAAGTGGTCTCTTTGCTTAGTTGATTGTTTTCTTTGCTCTGCAGAAGTTCTTTTAGTTTGACATAATCCAATTGTCTATATTTGCTTTCAGGGTTTTATCCAAAAATTCCTTACTAGATCAATATCATGGAGCTTTTCTCCTATATTTTCTTCTAGTAGTTGTGTAGTTTAAGGACTTACATGCAATTCTTTAATCCATTTTGAGTAAATTTTTAATATGGTGAGAGATAAACATCTAGTATCATTCTTCTGAGGATATTGAGAACTGTGGATATACTGTTTTCTAAGCACAATTTTATTAAAGAGTCTATCTTTTATCTTTCCTCATTTTGTGTACCTGGAACCTTTGTCAAAAATGTGTTGGCTGTAGATTTGTGGGTTTATTTCTGAGCTTTCTATTCTGTTACATCGGTTTACGTGTCATTTTTATGCCAATACCATGCTGTTTTGCTCACTATCACTTTATATAATAGTATGTTGTGAAGTCCAGCAGTGTGATACCTCCAGCTTTGTTCATTTTGTTCAAGAATGTTTTGACTATTCAGGATATTTTGTGATTCCATACAAGTTTTATTTTTTTTAATTTCTATGAAGAATGTCATTGACATTTTGATAGCAATTATATGGAATTATAGATTACTTTGACTAGTGCAGACATTTTCACAATATTAATTCTTTCATTCCATGAACATGACATATTTTTAAAATTTATTTGTGTCTTTATTTTTCCATCAATATTTTATAGTTTTCATTGTAGAGATTTTTCAACCCCTTGGTTAAATGTATTCTTAGGTATTTTATGTGTATTTTTGTAGCCATTATAAATAAAGATTGCTTATTTCATTTCTTTTTCAGACAATTCACTAAAATTACTGTGCCTTAGTATATCCAAAAAGTTAACAACTCAGTGTGTCTTAGTATATTCAAAGTTATAAAATCATCTCTATTATTTCATTTCAGAATATGTTCATAATTCCCAAAAGAAACCCCATATGAATTAGCAGTCACTCCCTATTCTATTCTATTCCCAGCCTCTGGTAACCAATAACCTCCTTTTTGTATATATGGTTTTGTTCATTCTGGACATTTCATAAAAATAGAATCGGAGGAGCCAAGATGGCCGAATAGGAACAGCTCCAGTCTACAGCTCCCAGCGTGAGCAACGCAGAAGACAGGTGATTTCTGCATTTCCAACTGAGGTACCGGGTTCAACTCACTGGGGAGTGTCGAACAGTGGGTGCAGGACAGTGGGTGCAGTGCACCAAGTGTGAGCTGAAGCAGGGCAAGGCATCACCTCACCCAAGAAGTGCAAGGAGTCAGGGAATTCCCTTTCCTAGTCAAAGAAAGGGGTGACAGACGGAACCTGGAAAATCAGGTCACTCCCACTGGAATACTCTGCTTTTCCAATGGTCTTAGCAAATGGCACACCAGGAGATTCTATCCCGCATCTGGCTTGGAGGGTCCTATGCCCACAGAGTCTCGCTAATTGCTAGCACAGCAATCTGAGATAAAACTGCAAGGCAGCAGCGAGGCTGGGGGAGGGGTGCCCACCATTGCCAAGGCTTGAGTAGGCAAACAAAGTGGCTGGGAATCTCGAACTGGGTGGAGCCCACCGCAGCTCAAGGAGGCCTACCTGCCTCTGTAGACCCCTTCTCTGGGGGCAGGGCATAGCCAAACAAAAGGCAGCAGAAACCTCTGCAGACTTAAAAGTCCCTGTCTGACAGCTTTGAAGAGAGTAGTGGTTCTCCCAGCACTCAGCTGGAGATCTGAGAATGGACAGACTGCCTCCTCAAGTGGGTCCCTGACCCCCGAGTAGCCTAACTGGGAGGCACCCCCCAGTAGGGTCAGACTGACACCTCACACAGCCAGGTACTCCTCTGAGACAAAACTTCCAGAGGAACGCTCAGGCAGCAACATTTGCTGTTCACCAATATCCTATGTTCTGCAGCCTCCGCTGCTGAAACCCAGGCAAACAGGGTCTGGAGTGGACCTCCAGTAAACTCCAACAGACCTGTAGCTGAGGGTCCTGATTGTTAGAAAGAAAACTAACAAACAGAAAGGACATCCACACCAAAAACCCATCTGTATGTCACCATCATCAAAGACCAAAGGTAGATAAAACCACAAAGATGGGGGAAAAACAGAGTAGAAAAACCGGAAACTCTAAAAATCAGAGCACCTCTCCTCCTCCAAAGGAACGCAGCTCCTCATCAGCAATGGAACAAAACGGGACGGAGAATGACTTTGATGAGTTGAGAGAAGAAGGCTTCAGATGATCAAACTACTCCGAGCTAAAGGAGGAAGTTTGAACCCATGGCAAAGAAGTTAAAAACCTGGAAAAAAAATTAGGAGAATGGCTAACTAGAATAATCAATGCAGAGAAGTCCTTAAAGGACCTAATGTAGATGAAAACCAAGGCACGAGAACTACGTGCCGAATGCACAAGCCTCAGTAGCCAATTTGATCAACTGGAAGAAAGGGTATCAGTGATGGAAGACGAAATGAATGAAATGAAGTGAGAAGAGAAGTTTAGAGAAAAAAGAATAAAAAGAAATGAGCAAAGCCTCCAAGAAATATGGGACTATGTGAAAAGACCAAATCTACATCTGACTGGTGTACCTGAAAGTGACAGGGAGAATGGAACCAAGTTGGAAAACACTCTGCAGGATATTATACAGGAGAACTTTCCCAATCTAGCAAGGCAGGCCAACGTTCAGATTCAGGAAATACAGAGAATGCCACAAAGATACTCCTTGAGAAGAGCAACTCCAAGACACGTAATTGTCAGATTCACCAAAGTTGAAATGATGGAAAAAATGTTAAGGGCAGCCAGAGAGAAAGGTTGGGTTACCCACAAAGGCAAGCCCATCAGATTAACAGCTGATCTCTCGGCAGAAACTCTACGAGCCAGAAGAGAGTGGGGGCCAATATTCAACATTCTTAAAGAAAAGAATTTTCAACCCAGAATTTCATATCCAGCCAAACTAAGCTTCCTAAGAGAAGGAGAAATAAAATCCTTTACAGACAAGCAAACGCTGAGAGATTTTGTCACCACCAGGCCTGCCCTAAAAGAGCTCCTGAAGGAAGCACTAAACATGGAAAGGAACAACCGGTACCAGCCACTGCAAAAACATGCTAAATTGTAAAGACCATCGAGACTAGGAAGAAACTGCATCAACTAACGAGCAAAATAGCCAGCTAACATCATAATGACAGGTTCAATAAAATTATAATTTTATAGGTTATCTGGCATTTTCTTCTTACTAGGTTGGGAGTGATTCTCTTCCCAGCATTATACATCCTAAACACGAGCCTAACTCACAATTTGAGTAACTATTAAAGAAACATAATTTTCTTACCAAAAAATAAAATTGAAGACTACTTTCAAGAGAAAGAATGGAAAAATGAACAAATATTTCCTGTTTTAGCATATCCTATAGCCAGCTCATGACAAACTGTATTAGCTCTGTTTAGCAATGCCTCAACAAATAGAAACATACCTCAATGTATGAAAAATGGGACCAGCTTTCATCATCCCTAGTATTTAAAATATGATGCTGGGGAAAAAATATATTTTTTAAGGTAGCTAATTATATTCCTGACAAGACAAAAACAAAACTCATGCTGTAATTTCCCATTAAAACTACAAAACAGACTGGGAACAGTGGCTCACACTTGTAATCCCAGAACCTTGGGATACCTAGGTGAGAGGATCACTTGAGGCCAGGAGTTTGAGGCCAGCCTGGGCAACATAGCAAGACACGATCTTTGCAAAAAATAAATAAGTAAATAAATTAGGTGAGCACGGTGGCACACCTGTAGTTTTAGCTACTTGGGAGTCTGAGGCTGGAGGACTGCTTGAGCCTAGGAGTTCAAGGTTATGGTGAGCTATGATTGCACCACTACACTCCAGCCAGGGGACAGAATGAGACCCTGTGTCAAAAAAAATAAATAAATAAAACCTGCAAAACAAAAGCAGAATACCATTCCATGTGGATTAATTTTACATTATTCTAACAAATTATATTCTGAAGTTACAAACTACTCACAGGGATAAAACTTCTTCACAAAGTAGTCATGTCACATGCTAAATTGTCTTTAAGGGTAGTATTAAAAACTAACCTACATTTTTAACAGTGATAGCCATTTTACATTGGTACCCTTTCTTCAGGCAACATATGAGATAAAAAAGAAAGCACTTTGGAAAATGTGAAGTTAATACCTATTTAAGATGATAAATTTGTTGTTTCAAATTATAAATAACCCATATGTATCCTGCTTCTTACATTATCTATATTAATTCCAAGTAACAGCTGTTTTGAGAACATGCAAGGTTACACAGAAGTGAATTTCTACAAGGAAAGAAGGTTTTATATGATTTTATGGATTGTCTACATAGATTGAATTAGTTAGAAGATTGCTAAATCTCATCTTCACTTAGTGCAGTTTAAGTGGAACTACATTGCTAATTCATACCAAAAAAAAATCACTTATTGAAATTGAGGAGAATTAGCCTCAAATGTCACACTTAACAATATTAGCTCTCAAAATATCACAGTTGGTTATTAAGATAATATATTTCACAGATGTTCACAAAACCTACCTAATCATACCTATGTTACAGTTCAAAACAGAGAACAATTAATTTCTTGAAGTAAAGGCTTTTGAAAACAGGATGAACCTGACAAAATGCAAAGTCTTTACTAACAATTAATAACTCAGAAGTCCTCAACACAGTTATAGCCAAAAATAAAGAAGAGGTCAGTCTTAATAGAATATCTGACAGATGCCTAATAGTTTTCTCCAAACAGTAATTAAAAACCAATAAATATTTTTTAATTGTAAAATGTAGAGAATTTCAAAGCACTTGAGAAATAATATAAGATTTTCTGCCTGTAGTGGAATTTTATTAAAAGTGTTATGAAACAGAAAAAATTCAAAGCACATCAAAAATTGTATACTTCTTCATTGTCCTGAGAGCAGCAGCCTGTATCATTTTCTATAGATGGACCACTCTATCAAGAAATGTCAGTAATTTAAAAAAGAAGAAAATAATAATACTTTACACTTTCTGTAGCATTTATCTGCATTCTACTAGTTCATGGACAACTGAAAATATTTTGTTTTGTTTAAAATGTATAATATATTTCATTGATACATACAAAAGACTGAGTGTGTGTGTCTATGTATAAAATATATATCATAGAATGAACATTGGTCAACCCATTACCTAATTTAACAGCTAGAAGATTAAAAATACCATTGAAATTCCTTGTGTACTCCTTCCAGATTTAATTCATCTGCCCCCTCACAGCCCCATCTCCACCAGGAGCAAACAGTATTCATTTTAAGAGATTGTTATCTTCAGCATATTATCCATAAACTATACAGTATTTTTTGCTGTTTTGCACTTAGTAATTTAATAATACTGTATGTCTTAATCTGAAATCACTTATTTCACAAATATATTTTTAAGATTCATATAGGTTATTGTATATATGAATAGTTCATTTATTTTTACTGATGAGTTCATTCACCATATATAGAAATTTATTTATCTATTCCTTTGGTAATAAACAGAAAAGTTGTTTATGTATTTTTGCTTTTCATTGTGGGAGACAGTGTGGTGATATCTCAAATACCTAAAGATAGAAATACCATTCAACCCAGCAATCCCTACACTGGGTATATACCCAAAGGAAGATAAGTTGTTCTGTTATAAAGACACATAGAAGTGTATGTTCACTGAAGCACTACTCACAATAGCAAAGACATGGAGTGCCCATCAATGATAGACAAGAACATGTGGTACATATACACTATGAAATACTATGTAGCCAAAAAAAAGAAAGAGATCATGTTCTTTGCAGGTACATGGATGTAACTGGAGGCCATTGTCCTTAGCAAACTAACGCAAGAACAAAAAACTAAATACCACATGTTTCCACTTATAAGTGGGATCTAAATGATGAGAACACATGGGCACACAGAAGGGAACAACACATATTTGGGGCTATTGAAAGGGTGAGGGGGCAAGGAGGAAAAGGAGTAGGAAAAATAACTAATGGGTACTTAATACATGGGTCATGAAATAATCTGTGACACAAACCCCCATGACATGAGTTTATTTATGTAAGAAGCCTGCACATGTTCCCCTGAACTTAAAATAAAAGTTAAAAAAAATTGTTTCTATAATATTTACTTCAATGGATGTCTTTGGATTTTTTTTTTAAATTCTGACTGATGCATATTAAAAGAGTTTCTGTAGGCTGAGGCTTTTCATACTGTGGATCACATCCTAAAGAAAGCAACACTTTGGGAGACCAAAGTGAGAAGATCACTCAAATCAAAACATAGTTTTTTTATGTAGATTAAGGAAAAAATTAGAACAGTATTAATAAGAATAAGATAGAATAAAAACGTTACTTCATGAAAAAATATTCTGGTTATTTATATATTGCTATATATATATTTATGAGTATCTGGGATAACAATGTAAAATGTGTTACTTAATATGGGTCAGATTGATAAACATTTGAAAATTCTATATGCTAATATGTGGAATTACTGTGTTGCAAAATATGTTCACACTTAGTTTAACAAGCTAAGGCCTAATTGTTTTCAAATTCGTTATCCAAATATATATATTTACCTGTTCTGTCCAAGAATACACACATTTTTCATATCCTCACTAACAATTATTAGATACTTTAATTTTTGACAATCTAGTAAATATAAAATGATCACACATTTTGTTTTTCAGTTTGTATTTTTCTGATAACTATGAGATTGAATATATATTTACTAACCATTCAATGTACTCCTCTAAAAGACAGGCTTCATGATTTTGTTTATTTTTCTACTGGGTTGTCTCATTGATTTGTAGGAGTTCTTTATACATTTTCAGTATGAGTTTTTTGTATATTATATGTATTCTCATAGTTTATGACTTATTTTCACTTTAATTTTGATATATTTTGATTAACAGAAGTACTAAGTTTTATTGTTAATTCTATCAATCTTGTGTGTACCTGTGTGTACCTTGTGTGTACCTCCAATCTTTGTGTGTACCTGTTTGTGGACCTCCCAGCCTACATCTTTCTCCCTTGCTGGATGCTTCCTGCCTTTAAACATCAGTCTCCAAGTTCTCCAGTTTTGAGACTTGGACTGGCCCTCCTTGCTCCTCAAGCTTGCAGACAGCCTATTGTGGGACCTTGTGATTGTGTAAGTTAATACCTAATAAACTCTCCTTTATATATATATATATATATATATAACCTATTAGTTCTGACTAATATAGTGGATTTGATTCTAGATTTGCTGTTTGGCTCCATTGTTTTATTTTTCCAGCATAACATTTTGTTAGGCCTACCAGAGATTTAAAAACATTTTTATACCTTTTAGGGGAAGTATTCCCACCTGACTTTTCCCTCATGACATAATTTTGTTATCCAGCTTTTTTTTTTTCCAAATTGCAACATCAAGATAGCACAAAAATTTAGTGAAAAGCCTTTCAAACTTCCCAAAAACCTATAGTTAGGTTTTTATTGAATTCCATTAATTTTGGAATCAGTTTCACATATATAGGTGTAATAAATTATTTTCCAATCTTTCAAATCCTATTTTAGTGTTTTATTTAAATTCTATTAAATCTATGAATTAATTTGTGGAGAATTGACATCTTTAGACTACTGAGTCTTCTAATCCAGAATCATTATATGTCTCAATTTTATTGAGGCCTCCTTTAATTATTTTTCTAAATGTTTAGTGCCTTTCTGTCTCTAAAACAAATGGGCCTGTAATTTTTTTAGGAAGATTTTATACCATTGATTCAACTTAATACTCATAGGACTATTCAGGCTTTCCATTTCTTCTTTGTAAATTATATTTTTTAGAAATGTATCTATTTAAGTTAGTTAGGTTTTATGCTTTTTACCAAACAAAATTACACACCAATATTCCTGATGAACATACATGCAATAATCCTCAATAAAACTTTAGAAAATTAAATTCAGCAATATAGAAAAAGCACAATATCTCTATTCCCCATAAACTCTGGCAACAATTAATCTACTTTCACTCTGTAGATTTGACTATTCTGGACATTTCATGCAAATAGAATATTCTGCAACCTTTTTTATCTTGGCTTTTTTAATCAACAGGTTTTCAAGATTCATAAATCTTGTAGCAAGTTTAGTACTTTATCCCTTTTTATGATTGAAGTATATTCCACTGTGTATATATATCTTGTTATTCCGTTTATTAGTTGATGGACATTTGAGTTGTTTCCACTTTATTATTAATAATGCTGCTAAGAACATTTGAGTGCAAGTTTTTGTGTGAAAAACTCTCGTCAATTCTCTTGGGTAGACACATAGGAGTGGAATTCATGAGTCATATGATAACTCTGGGTTTTACTTTTTGAGAAACCACCAAACTGTTTTCCACTGCATCATTTCATATTCTCACCATCAATGTATGTCCCCATCAGATTTTAAACTTCAGGAGAACAAGGGCAATGTCTGTTTTGTTTACCACTATATACTCAGTACCTAGGGAATGAGGATTGACACATAGAGTATTCTTGACATAGATTTGTGGATTAAATTACTGAAAAAAATAAAGGAAATGGTCCAGTTATTTGTTAAAGCTATATGCCTAGAACATATAGAAAGTATTTGGTAAATGTTAAAAGGTTACTATTATTACTTTTTGAATTTATACTCAGAAGTGTAAATTCACTGAACACCTAAGTTCATGGCTATACGGTACAGTTAAAATTCAGGTCAAAATATGTTTGAAATATACAAGTGGGTGCTGATTTTAGGAACAAATGCCTGATAAAATTGACCTAATACTTACTGACAACTACTCAATTTACAATACAAAATATTGGAACATTGGATTATTTGTCAATTCTCCAAACTGCCCACAGTGATATGAGAAGAGAAGGAGTATAAAATTGTGGCTCAGGGGAAACAGCACTAGACCTCAGCATTTTCTGGGATAAAAAAGTTGAGGTGGATAATCAACCAATCCCAATGCTCCTATTGATAAGTGAATTTAGAATGTGTTTGAGAGCAGAGTATTCTACCCACTCCAATAGCTTACTGCTTAATGTCACTTCCTGATCCATTCTCCATCCATCAGCCCAAATTATCTTTAATCATAAAGCTTGATTGTTCTACTTTGCTGTTGAAATCTCTTAGTGGATTTACCGTTGCTTTTAGAATTCAGATTAAATCTCTAATATATTCTACAGGAACTATATAAAGGCATTCTTGCCTAAGAGTACGGGCATAGCTAAAGAACACTGATTCAAATTTTGATTCTAACACATCGTAACTATGTGAATTGGGGAAATACTTAGGTTTTTTTCATCTGGAAACCAGGATAATAGTAATAATGCTCTCCTTATAGCTTTTTATTATTGGGTTGTTTATTTAATACTTCACAATAATACTGCAGGATAACTTAAAGCAGTACTTGGTGCACATTAAC
Organism: Homo sapiens; assembly: GCF_000001405.40. Classification (NCBI taxonomy): domain Eukaryota; kingdom Metazoa; phylum Chordata; class Mammalia; order Primates; family Hominidae; genus Homo; species Homo sapiens. The sequence continues at coordinate 56,769,596 of NC_000002.12, read as the reverse complement.
CACTTTATAAGTGCTGGCTGCTCTCATTTGAAATTATTTTTATCACTTGTTATTGGCCACTGTTAACCTCTCCAATCTTGTCTCACACCATTCACTTATCCCTTGCTCTGCCCTAGTGACAATGAACTTATCTTTGCTCCTCAAATATGCCATATACCATGTTTTTTTTTTCCCATTTTCTTTGCCTGAGGCACATACTCCCTCTTTGGGGTGGTTAAAATCTCACAATCTCACATTTGGTCTCACCTTCTATAATTCACTTTACCAACCTCAGAACATGGCCTGGGTCATGCTTGCTTTAACAGTCCTAGATTTCTCTGACCCATCCCTGCTCATCTACCAACCCCTTTGATCTAGATCCTTTGGCACCTACTCTGACTTCCACACCCCAGAACTCTTTGCCATCCTGTTCATTTGGAAATCCTATTGGGTAATATTTCTGTTCAAGTACAACTTGATAATTACACCCTTGGTTTATCTTGCACTAAGCTGTAGTTTGTACTTCCCCTGTCCACATCTAAACTCTCTAACTGGGGAAATCAATTACAGGTATACCAAGGGGTAACCTGACAGCAAGAGAAATATAGGGAAAATATCTAAAGCTAGCCATCACAGCCTGGCTACCAGATCAAAGACAGGCGACTTAACTCTAAAACCCAAAGGGCCACCTTTGATTGACATTGGCTCAGAAATTATATCTGAATATAGATATCAGTGGAACATATGAAGCAAACTGAGAAATTTTGGAGGGGCTCATGTAGGTCAAGTTATGACAGAACAAATGCCACAATCTTTTTCTCCCTTACAAGTTATTCTACAGATGACCCTACATATGTCAATTATAAGCAGTATGAGCAAGAAATGCATCTCTTTCATTGTCTGGAGCATAACACAAATTTGACAACAAATATAGCACATGCATAACATACGACAAAGGATTATTTGCAAAATGTTTCAATTTCTTGATATTTCTCATACTCAGGTTATCTGAGGAGTTATCAGGGCTCTAGTCTCATAAACCATACTAACTGGCTTTGCATAAATAATTTTAGTTTTGTTTAAATTTTTTTAAATATTAGAATCCTTGCCCAAACTGTAGTGGGAAAAGTTTCTAAAGTGAGAGAAACCTGCTTACAACTGTCCCAGAAACTTTGATTCGATGCCCTTAGCACGTCACATCACTTTTTCTGGGATCCTAGTTTCTTTCCCTTTTTTAAAGATTTAATTGTAATGATAGTCATTTTTCAGTATCATTGTGAAAATATATTAAATAAATGAAAGAAATGTCTAAAATATCTGTTGCAAGGCCTGCAACACCAATCATAATGGTATGATAAATGACATTAGGTATCATTAAACAAATAAATATTTGAGCTCAGGCCAGGGATGTGGTCTTGTGAGGATGATAACGACAGTTGATTTGCAAACTCTGCCCTCGGGAGCTTTTAGTACAGTGAGATACATAAGACATGTTTAACAACAATGGCAATACCAGCAGCAGTAGTTATACCTAAGAGCAGTATTGAATTTATAAACATATAAGGGGCACTTTTCCACAAAGGCAGTTAAAGAAAATGGGATTTAAACATGGCCCGCAAGCATGGGAAGCAGGAAAAGCAGAGGCTGGGAAACAGCAAAAATCTGGAGAATGGAAAATTAAACAATAGGGTAAATAGACATTGGGTATAATAGTTTGTGTAGAATACCAGTTCACCTAGAAAAAAGTGAGAGATATGGCTAGGAAAGCAAGTTATAGTCATACAGGGTTTGGGATATCAGACTGAGATGTTTGAAATATATCCACAGGCAGTCGGTATCAGTGATGGTTTTAGTTATGAAGGGACATGCTCAGAAGTTCTTTTAAAAGATTAGACTTCTTGCTCGGAGAAAAATGTTAGGGACAGAATCATATTGAGGGGTGTTGTTAGAAAGTTAGGAGGCAATGATACCATCTAAATTATAAATATCTATGTCATAATGGAGACAAGTAGAATGGTGACATAACCTTGCCTGTTTCCTACTTCATCTGTCTTAACTCAGGATAGCAAAGCACAAGAGAAAATTTTCATTCTAATTCAAACAAAAAAATGATTAGCTTGACAGGAAGGGCCTCTGTATCAACAATAAAGTGGAGGGGCACCAGTGCTCTGAGAGGGGAGCACCATTTTGAAAATGATCCCTGAGAACTTTTGTTTTGAATGATCTTATCTTCTAAGAGTGCTGTCCTGTATCCCTATTACACTTTCAGAGAGAGCATCTTAGATACTTTCACTTCAATGAGAATAAAGTTAAATTTCAGTGGACTTAAATGTTTTCTTCTTCCTTCAATAAAAGAGCATAAGAAGTTAATAAGATGGTACTGAAAACTTTTTTGGCCATGTATAATACTACCCCTAGAATGCCACATAAAAATATGAACCTTTCAGATGAGCACTGAGATTTAGGAAGAGAAAATACCAGTATTGTTTAGAATCTCTCTCTCTCTAAATGACCTTAAAATATTTTGCAAAGATTGTCTCAAAGATCCTCACAAGGAGGCAGATAGCTAGTAACTACTGTCATTTTATTGAGTGGATATGGGTGATCATGAGTAGAGAGATAAAACCTAAACCTGGCTTCACAAATCCAAGCATAGAATCATTTTCAAACTTGATCAATACATAGGAAAATTTGAGAGCCATTCAAAGTTACACTTTAATGAGTATAGGGAGGAAAAGTTGGTAAGAACTAACCCACCCATGCCTGCTCAGTGATGTTTTTGGTGGCTGCCGAGGCAACTAAATTGACCTCCTAATATTTTTCTAGGGGTGGAGTTTTGAGTAACTTGATCAGTTAATGAACTGGCTCTTCACAATATGCCATAGAATGATAGCTACAGAAGTGTCCAGGCTTTCTTGATTCGAAAGGAGTAAGATTATTCATTGAGTGAATGGCACTCAGCTAGGCACTCCCTGGAAGATGCAAAGATAAATAATGATCAGTGTCATAATTAGCATGCTGCAGGGGGTAGGAGAAGGAAAGAAAGAAATTTTCACTGGACTGAGATAAATAGACTGGCTCTTTATGGAAGTTTAACTGTGTTTGGTGATGAAATGTTGGTGCTGTAAAATTTGAGAGCTGGAAATAAAAGTAGACACCATATCATCAAATTTCAGTCTTAATAAAATATAATTATAAACATAGACAAAATGTATTTTGTTAACATACAAGATGTTTCAAGCACATAGGATTTTTTAAAATATTTTCTTCAAAACCCCAGTAAAGTAGAAATTATCACAATCTCTACTTTATAGACAGGAAAACTAAGACTCAAAGAGGAAAAACTCATATTGCAATTTTAAGCCCAAATTATGATATAGAAGCACAACTTTGAATGTTAAATAAAATTTGTTCCAATAAATATTTTAAAATAGATATGTATTAGTCCATTTTCACACTGCTGTAAGGACATACCTGAGACTGGGTGATTTATAAAGAAAAGAGGTTTAATTGACTCACAGTTCCACATGGCTAGGGAGGCCTCAGGAAACTTAAAATCATGGCAGAAAGCACCTCTTCACAGGGTGGCAGGAGAGAAAATCAGTGCTGAGTGAAGGGGGAAGCCCCTTATAAAACCATCAGATCTTGTGAGAATGCACTCACTATCACAAGAATAGCACGGGAGGAACTGCCCCCATGATTCAGTTACCTCCCACTGAGTCCCTCCCACCACAGGTGGAGATTATGGGATTACAATTCAAGATGAGATTTGGGTAGGGACACAAAGGCAAACCACATCAGATATTTAAGGAATGAATTATAAAGCAAGTCTTTCACGTTAATTCATGTTTCCATTCTACATTCTTTTTTTACAGTCCAATCTCTAAGTTCTTTATTTTCATATCCTAGCACCTTTCAACAGAAATGCAGAAGGTAAATATTCCAAACAAAGAATTATAAGGTGGCATATGTTAAAAACGAAGAATGAAGAGGCTGTGATTTTTATTTCCATCTAAGTTCTCTTCAGTGTGCTAGAATTCTATTAAATGTTTCTTGAAATAACTCAGCCATTCACTTTCTCTTGTTTTTATGACATATGAAGCTATGACAATTAAACTGTTTGATTATATAGGCTGATTGTAGCACAACACCTATGTAGACTATAACTTTATTTCAAGTCCTATGTGATTCTGGTGTTTGAAAGGTCTAGGCAGGGGGCACCAAGGAGCAGGAATAAAACCACTTCAACTTTTCATTGGTTAAAACAAGTTCTCCACAGAATAATGCCAGTGGGAAAACTGAATTTCTGTCTGGAATTTTAAAAAGAGGCATAAAAAGAATGGATTAGGTCATCTGCATATGTTAAAAGTAAAATAGCATATATTTTCTACAAATAATTAAGATGAAAGGACTTCACATTGGTATCTGATGATTCTGTAATTGTATATTAACTACATTCATTATGAGTCTGCACCAGATCAATGAGTTGACATTGAACTATCAATATCTCTTAGACTTATAATCTCCACATGATTAGATTTCTAAGGAAATTCTTGTGGGTCAAATATGTATTTTCAAAGAGAGGTGTGCATTATGCATCATATGGCAAAAAAGAAAAAGCAAGAGATGTGGTTATAACTTATTTTACCAATAACTAGCTATATAACCTTAAAACTTAACGTTCACCTTGATGAGTCTCACATTTATTATTTATAATGCCAGAAATTGAGATAAATGACCTCTAGTTTATTCTACCTCTAGTATAGCTATTGATGCTTAGGCATAAGTGCTGTGACGCCAAAAAGTATATTTATTTTCATGAGCTTAGCAGGTAGCTAAGAAAAAACTGTGCTTTTCCACTTTTATAGTATTTGGGATTATGATACCACTACTAAATCTTCAGAATATCAAATATTCTCAATTAGGAATTTGAGTTTTAAGAATAGTATATCTTCCTTCAAAACAGGAGAGACACAATTGAAAATATAATCACATACCCAGAGTGACTTCAAAATTAGTTGTTCCTTAAAATAAGTTTGCTATGAAACTAAAGCTACAACTCTCATAGCAGAAATGGAGCCAAGTTGAAACAATGCAAATTGTATTCACTGTCCAGGACAAAAAAGCTCTTTATTCCTTAATATAACAGCCCCCTGACTTTTGTTCATTTAAAATTCATTGGAAAACACTTGGTAGATATTACTGTATTACATTTGGGGAAAAGTCTTGTAAATATTATAAGTAGAAAGTCTCCTTTCCAACTGACCCTATGTAAGAAGACATTCATTTCATATATATATATATATATATATACATATATATTTTTTTCTAGGATCCATATATACTAATCAGCCATGAAGAAAATCATTTTCTAATAACTTCAGAGAGTATCACCATCTTCTTAAAATGCCTAAAGACCTTACACTCATCTCATCTCCATGTTATTAAATATATATGTACCAAATACATCTAGGCAAAGGTAGCTGATATACTAAACAATATTTGGGAAAGGAAATTAAGTTATACAAAGCTAATATTAGATTTGTTTTTAAAAGATCCTTTAGGATTAATAAGTATGCATCTGTGTGGGTAATGTCTTGGGTCTTCCAAAGAAATAGAAAAAAAAAACAAATTTGGGAATACGCAATAGCAGGACATATGCCAACATTTCCATGATTGTGTGTGAGAGCTGAGTTAATATTAATAATTAACTATGCTGTGCTATTTCCAGGGTTTCACAATTTAACCCCAGGGTCCACTGTATATCATTAAAAGCATCCACTGTAGGTTCTATGTGAACAATAATGTTGGTAGAGTATGAAAATTTGGAAGAATAATGTAGAACATCTGATAAAACATTTATCTATATATCATTATTAGTCTCTATTTCTCGTCTTCAATATCAGGGCTCAAATTTTCTTCTTCAGGGGTTTAATTACTATGAATTTAAGCAACTATTTAGATAGAGGAAATTTAAGGCATTGAGATATTTTTCTAATGTATTGTACATGAAACAGATACTCTATAGATCAATGGTTGTTAACTTATTATTTACATTTGACTTTCTATGGAGTCGACATGGCCTCTCTCTTTGAAAATATATCATTTAAATTAATATAATACATTTTAATATTTAAGGTTAATAATTCCAAGAAACCTTTTAAAGCCTAGCCCCCATTAGTATAACTCCTTTAAGGGGCTATTTTCAAGAAAATCTTCTAAGGTAAGATTTCCAAATAGGATGTAAAAGATGAAAGTTTCAAAGTTGTTAATGTTTTGGTCTGCGGCCAAAGAGCTATATGTTATCTACTTATTCTGGGAAATAGAGAACAGTTAGGGTAGAAAAAAAAAACAAAAAAACAAACAAACAAACAAACAAAAAAAACACCATATGGACAGAAAGAATGGGTATCGATGTGTTGGGACAAGAACTGAGAATAAAGAAAGAATGAGTCCTGTTGTAGATACTAAAGGTTTCAGATCTCATTTTCAAGCTGCCTCTTACTACTTACAAATATTTACATAATTTGGCTCTTTCCTTTAAAAAGTATACTAATTTTGTAGATGTCGTCTTACACACACATTGGAGTAAACTAGGTAAATAATAAAACACTGATAATTTAATAGTAAAGCATGAAGGGAACATAGATTTAATGTCTTATTAAATATGGCAGCCCATTGTGTTCCATGACCTCAACCTAGAGGGCATTTCTTTCCCCAAAAAGAGTCAGAGCAGGACTTGTAACCTGAAATGTCTGCCTGAATAGCACAGACAAATCATTTCACTCTAGGGCAGCCATCACCTTTTCCCAAACATATACTAGAGGAGAGAAAATCCCATAACATCTGGCATCCCTCACACCTGTAAAACAAAATTAGACAAAATATGAAGTAATCCCATAGGAATATAGTTGAGAAACTAAGAAATTGCAGAAATAGACTGAAATAAAACTTGCAATGGCTCTCTAAACCTAGCTTCTATCAAGGTGGAAGCTAGAAAATTTGATTTAGATGTCACGTCAGGACAACAAAAGACCATACAAAGAAGACCATGACAGAAGCACTTCCCGGGACTTGACACGGGTGAATTTCACCAATTTCTTAGTAAAGAGAAATTGGAAATATTACCGAAACAACTATGTTTGCTACTAAGTATTATTCTAATCTTTCTATCAACATACACAGAAGTTGACTATTTAGTAAATCATGTGTTATTTATACCATAGTATAGTTTCATTCATCAAGTAACTCATTTGTTGGTGCAATAATTCTAAATTAAATATATTCTTCCAGGGCTGCTGTCTGTACAAGCCCAAAGTCTTCGTGTTATATTTACATAAATACAACAACAATCAACTTCCAAAGATTCAAGGAAGGATTCTCCATACTATTTTTTAGTTCAAATCGAAGTATTTCAGGCCTAAATATTCACTTAAAGTTGCTATAAAGGTGAGAGTTTCATGTCTAACCCATGGATACGTATACAGCATTTTAAGCTGATTACTCAAGATTCATAAATCTTTCCCTAAAAAAGTTAAACAAGAGAAAATCCTAGCCAAATCCAAACTGGTAAACATTTCTACAAATTTTTACAACTTCATTTTGCTCATCTTGCTGTCTTAATAAATCAAAACACAACAAGAAATTTTGAAATTCACCACTATGATAATCTTTATGATGACTGAAGGTGTAAATTTAAATGCTAAAGTAAAAACTCCAGGTAAGGAATTTGCTGTTTTCTCACACAATTTTTCTCCCTTGCAAAATATCCCCCTACCACTCAATTGCTCTGCAATCAAATGCACAGGAATGAAACTTAGCCTTTTAAAAAATTAAACCACTAATAAGAAGTGAGTTATCTTTCTGGGGGAGATTTTGGCTTCTTCTAATCTGGAAACTAAAGTGCTTTTGTGTTAAAAAAAAATCTATAAACTGGAGATTGGAAAAAAGCCCTTGTAGGTTTTGAGATAATAGTTATCTGGTTCTTGTCTTGAGAAATGGTACTTCTTCTTTCTAGATCTGACTGCTTTATGACTTGTAAAGATACACTGTTTTACTTTTTTAACATACTTTTTTTATTATACTTTAAATTCTGGGATGCATGTGCATAACCTGCACGTTTGTAGCATAGGTATACACGTGCCATAGTGGTTTGCTGCACCCATCAGCCCGTCATCTACATTAGGTATTCCTCCTAATGCTAATCCACCCCCAGCCCCCGACCCCCTGACAGACCCCAGTTTGTGATGTTCCCCTCCCTGTGTCCATGTGTTCTCATTGTTCAACTCCCACTTATGAGTGAGAACATGCAGTATTTGGTTTTCTGTTCTTGTGTTAGTTTGCTGAGAATGATGGTTTCCAGCTTCATCCATGTGCCTGCAAAGGACATGAACTCTTGCTAATTTATGGCTTCATAGTATTCCATGGTGTATATGTGCCACATTTTCTTTATCCAGTCTATCATTGATGGGCATTTCGGTTGTTTCCAAGTCTTTGCTATTGTGAATATTGCTGTAATAAAAATACGTGTGCATGTGTCTTTATAGTAGAATGATTTATAATCCTTTGGGTATATACCCAGTAATGGGATTGCTAAGTCTAATGGTATTTCTGGTTCTAAATCCTTGAGGAATAGCCACACTGTCTTCCACAATGGTTGAACTAATTTACACTCCCACCAACAGTGTAAAAGCTTTCCTATTTCTCCACATCGTCTCCAGCATCTGTTGTTTCCTGACTTTTTAGTAATCGCCATTCTAAATGGCATGAGATGGTATCTCATTGTGGTTTTGATTTGCATTTCTCTATTGACCAGTGATGATGAGCTTTTTTTCATATGTTTGTTGGCAGCATACATGTCTTCTTTTGAGAAGTGCCTGTTCATATTCTTCGCCCACTTTTTGATGGGGTTGTTGGTTTTTTTCTTGTAAATTTGTTTAAGTTCTTTGTAGATTCTGGATATTAGCCCTTTGTCAGATGGATAGATTGCAGAAATTTTCTTCCATTCTGTAGGTTGCCTGTTCACTCCCATGATAGTTTCTTTTGCTGTGCAGAGGCTCATTAGTTTAATTAGATCCCATTTGTCAATTTTGGCTTTTGTTGCAATTGCTGTTGGTGTTTTAGTCATGAAGTCTTTCCCCATGCCTTTGTCCTGAATGGTATTGCCTGGGTTTTCTTTTAGGGTTTTTTATGGTTTTAGGTCTTATGTTTATGTCTTTAATCCATCTTGAGTTAATTTTTGTAGAAGGTGTAAGGAAGGGGTCCAGTTTTTGTTTTCTGCATATGGCTAGCCAGTTTTCCCAAGACCATTTATTAAATAAGGAATCCTTTCCCCATTGCATGTTTTTGTAGGGTTTGTCAAAGACCAGTTTGTCAAAGACCAGATTAGTGGCATTATTTCTGAGCCCTCTGTTCTGTTCCATTGGTCTATATATCTGTTTTGGTACCAGTACCATGCTGTTTTGGTTACTGTAGCCTTGTAGTATAGTTTGAAGTCAGTTAGCATGATGCCTCCAGCCTTGTTCTTTTTGCTTAGGATTGTCTTGGCTATATTGGCTCTTTTTTGGTTCCATATGGAATTTAAAGTAGTTTTTTCTAATTCTTTGAAGAAAGTAAATGGTAGCTTGATGGGGATAGCATTAAATCTATAAATTACTTTGGGCAGTATGGCCATTTTCATGATATTGATTCTTCCTATCCATGAGCATGGAATGTTTTGCCATTTGTTTGTGTCCTCTCTTATTTCCTTGAGCAGTGGTTTGTAGTTCTCCTTGAAGAGGTCCTTCACATGTCTTATAAGTTGTTTTCATAGGTATTTTATTATCTTTGCAGCAATTGTGAATGGGAGTTCACTCATGATTTGGCTCTCTGTTTGTCTATTATTGCTGTATAGGAATGCTTGTCCTTTAAACTCATGTTTTCCAGAACAGTAGGATTCACTGAGCCAGTCTGAGCAGGTAAAGCATGAACAAATAGTATTAGGTTTACATCATTACATCTTTATTATTCTGTTCTGTTTGTGGTTTGTTTGTTTACTTGGCTTTTTACTACTATTGGCTCTGCTTTACTAGATTGCTGTTATTGTTGTTTCATTTTTACCATACTTGGAACTAATATGTAAATTAGAAGCGCAAATAGAAAAAAACATTTCATGGCAGGGTATATTTTGCTGTTATTAGAATAACAGAAAGTAGATAACATTAAATCTTCATTAACCAAAATTAATATACTGATTTTAAAGGAGACCTGAAAAAGGAAAAAAATTAAAATTACAGTAAAATATTAACCATGAGCCAATTCTAATCCTGTGGCAAGCAGATTTTAAGATCAATATGGTGGTATAGATCTGTAGTCACAACCACTCAGGAGGCTTAGGCAGGAGGATCACTTGAGCCCTGGAGCTTGAGGTTACAATGAACTATGATCATATCATTGCATTCCAGCCCGGGCAACAGAGTGAGACTCCATCCCTAAAACACATTAAACTATTTTTAATTTAATGTAAAAATGATCCCAGCCCTGTGATCTCTGCTTTGTGCTGTTGACATCCTTGTGAATTTCCTTCCCTTGAATGTAGGCAGTACCTGTGCTTTGCTTCTAACCAACAGAATGTGGTAAAGGTGATAGGCTTTACTCATGTGATTATGTTACATTGTATAGTATTTGCTCTTACTAGCGACTTTCTCTATTCTCTTTTTATCCCCTTGCTGGCTTTGAAAAAGCAAACTGCCATGAAATGTAAAATCACAGGGAACTGAATGTTGCCAACAACTATGTGAGGGGGGCAGTGGACCTTCCCCTGGGTGAGCCTCCAGATGAGAACCAAGCTCCAGACAACACCTGCATTGCAGCCTGTCATACCCTAAGCAGAGGACCCAGCTAAACTGCGCCCAGACTTCTGACCTACAAAAACTCTAAATTTTCTTGTTTCTAGTCACTAAGTTTATGGTAATTTGTTATTTATACAATATGATTTCATAATCAAAAAGTAGATTTAAAATATAAATGCCCCATAAGAAAAAGTATGTTAGTCTAAATTGCTTTTATGAGAGCCTTTCCTTTAATGGATAAGACAGTGAAATGGAGACTGGAAATGATGTAGAAAGTACTATGGAAATAAGAGAAACTTGCATTAATTACTCAAGAGGAAGAGTAATCATTTAAAAATTTAACAAACAGATGAAACTACTGTATTATTAGAATCAAACATCTAAAGCATCAATCAACCCGGGATCTCTGCCAGAACTGCTATCTCTTTGTAGTATTGCAAAGTCACTGTTACTCCAGCTGCTCTTACAGATCTAGAGTTCTCTTGGACACTTCATTTTAACACCAAATTCTGGTCACTTTATCTTTATGGGCTTGTAACTCCTTACCTCTCCTTTTCATATGGTTTCTACTCACTGATTCCTCATCACTCCTGATCTATATAATAGCATATCAACTAGTCTTCGAGCTTCATTTATTGAACAAAAACATGAAGTTCAATGTTTGTGCAATGTGGCAGATTGCTCAATAAAACATTGTATAAACTGCCATCACAGTATCTTTGTAAGTGACAGACCTGCTCAAATAAAAAGAAATATATCAAAGGCAAACCATTAACAAAGAGATTATCTGATTTTGTATTTCAGTAAACATTCAATTAATCAATTAGTCAATCTATTAAAAATAGCCTAGATCAGCCAAATATTTTACTTAGCTAACTAAGAAAAATAAAAAGAAATCTCTATTTTTTATGAAAATGCTATATATTTTAACATATAAAAGTAATAAACCTTTAAATACTGTTTGCTTAATGCTAAAATATAGATAGTAATAGTATTTACCTGAGAGGGTTATTGTGAGAATAATTGAAACAATATGCTTAAAGCCCTTGGAATACCGCATGGGACATAATACATGTTCAGTAATTTATAGTAACTTGTATTATTTGGATTCTTATTTAAATTTGCACCATAATCAAGCATTATTTTCAAAATAAACAACAGAAAGTTAAGATAGATAAAACCCTCATTATAAAAGAGAGTCTTTTCAAGAAAAGATAATTGATAACTTTATATTGATATACATAAGCACAGAAGTTATTCAAGGAACTATTACACTAATTCAGGAACAGTAACTATGACCTCTGACATGAGAATTAAAATTTTACACATTGAAGAGATCAATTTAAGATAACTTGATAGATTGCATGTGAGGGGTGGATGAAGAGATGCTTCAAGAATGACTTCTGTATTTCAGGCTTGGCAGACAGCTTGAGGCACCACTGACATTAACTAAGGTGAGAATTATAAAGAAAGAGGTGTTCAATCCAGTCTTGCATATGTTAAATTTAAGGTTATGTAGAAATTCTGGATGGTAATAACCAACAGGCAACAGAAAGATTTCTCTATCTGTAGATTAAACAACTGGAGGGCAGAGACCTTGTTGTACTCATTTTATCATGTTTCTTCAAGTACAGGCCCTTGCACAAGAAGGTATTCAATAAAAAAGTTAATTCAATTGACAGTTCTATTTTGTAAGGGTCAGAAGGCCCAAGAAAAAAAGAGGTAATAAGTATCAAAATGCCTGTTCTTTTCTTTTCAATCAAATTTCAGCAGAGATCAGACATATTCACAAATGTTTACCGCCTCACCAATCAAGAACAAAAGCAGTGAGTGTTGCAAATAATAGGATTGATTTTAAAGTCCTATAGTTTTGCGAAAGTTCGTAAACATTTTTAAATAATTTAATCTAATTTTTATTGTATTTAAAAAGTCATTGATATCAAATATTTAGCTTACTTCCATTCATCTGTCACTTAAAATAAACTAAAATACCCAATATTTTCAAACTCTTCCAAATGAAATCTCTAAGTACCGTCAGGTCCTTCCCCTGTTGGATAGATTGCTTTGTGCAATTCACATTATATCAATGATATCCAATTTCTGAATAAAGCCTGTGATCAGACTCTGTAATCTATTTCCCATATTAGCCAGGCTCTTTAATATGGCTTTCAGTCAGAATTATTTGATCTCTAACTTTAAGCTTCTGAAGATCAGCACAAGGATCCAACCTGTCTTTCTTAAGCTGTCAATTGTCACTTAAATGTAAAAACTTTTTTTTTTAGCAGTCTTTATCAAACCTTGAAGAGAGAAAATTCCCTGAGCTACTTCTCCACCTAATAAAACCTAATTGCATTTCCCAGACCATTTCTGAAAAGAACTTTCACCACTTTAACCATCATACTCCCTGTAGAAATTTTGGGGGAATGTGATAGATTAGTTTCAGAAGAAAACAACCCCCTAAATTTGTTCCAAACAAAATCTCCCCCATATAAATAAAGTCACATAAATTTAGTCAATATGACCTATTTTTTGAATGTATGTGTCCCTAAGATAATAATCTGAGGCATGTCCTACTCTACATTACAAAACATCTTTAGTTCTTCTGGAGTAAGTGTATTTATGAGATTACAAAAGAAAGTTGAATTAAATTAGTCTAGTCACTACAATTCATTGATATTCCTCAGAGAGTATTCATTTCCAAATATCAAAAAATGAAGGTTTAAGTCAATGTTAAGTGATATTCTGAATCATCTGTCTTTTCCTGCCATAGACATCTATTTCTCCAAGTGCTTCAGAGTGGCAGAAATGGTGTCCACTAGGACAAGACATTCTACAGAGCTTTCCAGCTACTATAGGTTTCCAAGTAGGGAATCAAATTTTTCACATTTGCTTGTACACTGGTATCATCTATAAAATCTGAACATGCAACATTTATTAACTTTTATGCCAAGAACTAAAAGCAAATACAAAAGAAGGGAATTGTCATTGCTTTCCAAGGAAAATGGGTTTTCATCCAAACTAGGATCCTCAGACAGCCTGTTGAGGTGAAACTCCTGCAGGCGATCCAACACAGAGCCTCTTACCCAACAACAACCTCATCTTGGATGAGACTGGGTGATCTTGCCATGTGCTTTTAATCTTAGTCTCCCAGACCTTTGCTTGAAGGGCTTAAAGTAAATATTCTTATATTAAATATCTCTATAAAATATTCTTAAAGAATTGCAGCCACACAATTTCTTTGTGGTTCCTTCATTCTCCTTCCAAATATGCTAAATCAGCTTTGCCTTTGTTATCATTTAATATTTAAAAACAGTCAAAGGTATTAACCAAACTTGGCTTCCGCCTGTTCCTCAAAAACATTCTTGCATTAAATCTTCATTAAAACTTTGCGTGAGCTATTCATGCTGCCTGAAACAATTCTCATCTGTAATGTTTTGAAAACTTTTAAAAACTTACACTTCAGAGTACTTCTGACCCCAGTCTACAGTAACCACCCACTCTTCTGTTCTATTTTAGTGTTACAAATAGTCTTTATAAATGATATATTCCTTATTTTTTATTTGGAGGTGCTGTAGTCAGAAGACAAGCTGAAAGCAGGACCTCATCTGTCTTCTCCACTTGCTCATCCCTGTATCCACATACTTGTAGAACAGTGCCTGACATATATTGGGTACTTAATAATTTTGGATAAAAAATGTGTATATAATTGCAGAAGTAATCTGCAATGCAGTCCGCTGAAGTAATGTATACTTCTGATTAAATGATGAGACTCTACTTTGACCTTCACTCTTGTGGTTGGTGAAGATTAATAAACAGTAGTGAAACAACAAATCTGCCACAAGAGAACTGGCCTTTTGCCACTGTGAGCATCAGCATTTGCTCAGTCTTCAGAAACAGAACAATTTTCTGACTGGCATGTGACTTTAAGAATGGTTGTCAACTTGATTACTGGAAAGTGTCCCCTGAACTGAAAAGAACATCACAGCATAAAATTCTGCCCCTGCAGCTAAAATGGCCTGGCTGCTTCCTCACCAGCAGCTGATGCCAGGCATCCTTTTACTACACCTGCTAGGCAGCCAACTGGGGGAAGCTGCTAGTGCTGTCAAAACTACACAAAATGTTAAAGATAAAAGGATTAGGTGCTGTGTTCGAGAAGGGGTGGAGGATTCAGCACTATACAGAGGACACCTGGAATGATTTTTCAGGCTGGGGAATCAACGGGGAAGACTTAGTTGGAGTTATGTAGATTCCAAAGTAGAGGGTGGGGAAAGAAGTGTGGGAAGCAATTGGGCACACCTTTAGGAAAATCCTTTATCTAAACCTCTCATGGCTTCCCAGGCATCCTGCCAGTTTGGGGTGATCACATCAATATTTATAGCACACCGCGTCAGGGTG
Source organism: Homo sapiens (assembly GCF_000001405.40). NCBI lineage: Eukaryota > Metazoa > Chordata > Mammalia > Primates > Hominidae > Homo > Homo sapiens. Next base: position 56,754,393 of record NC_000002.12, on the reverse strand, counting down.
CCTATGTTCCCCAGCAGGGGCGATTAATATGTTATATCAACACCTATGACACGACACATTTTATTTCTGTCAACAAAGAAAGAGGTTTCTACTTTCTCTGTCAGCTGAATACCGAAACCTTTTATTTTGCACAATAAACCATCTATCGCTGCAGCTGAAAGATAGATGCTGAACTGCAGTCAATTCTTTAAATAGGTTTCTTCAACTGGCCAGGTGGCCTGTATCAAAAACGAGAAATTCTACTTTTGGTGGGAATAGGCAGACATGACGGGAGGCGTGCAAGGAAAGAAGTGCTTGTTATGGTTTTCAACACAGATATTTGGCACTGAACTGTATACGGCGAGGGAACTACGCAGGGTTTCTGTCCTCAAAAAATTCTGAAATAACGCTAATAAATATGACACATATGACATTAATCTTTTGAGATTATTCTTGAAAAAAATAGTAATATCAAAAGCCTACTCTATAATACTGAGTGACTAAAGGCAAGGGATGCAAAACAATATTTAGTATGCTGCAAATTATTAAAAATACTACGTGTATAGGTATGTATGTTTGCGTGTGTTTAGAGAAAGGCCAAGAACTATATCAATCTTTAACCATGGTTGATGCTGAGGATGTAATTGTGTGTACTTTTTATTTTCTGTGTTAGTTCCCATATTATAAAATACTCTATAATGTATATATATAAAAGATACCAACATAAAAATAAGAAATGCAGGGCACTTTATTTTTAAACAGTGCTTTCTTCTTAAGACATTGAGGTGCCAAGCAAGTGTTAATTTCTAGAATTATGATAAGATGGAAAAATGGATCCCTTGGAGTTCCATTAACAATAAAAACAGCTTTTGTAATTTCCCTCTTAAAAAAGAGAAAACAAGCCCTAGTTTCTTAGATAAGAGAGGAGCACAGTTTGATTTTTTTGTAGTGTGGAAATGAGTTTACTAAGAAATGAAAGTTGGTTGACCCAGGGCTGCAGATCATGCCACAGGTGTTGCTGAAGGTTTTCTCTGTAAAACTGAGTGGGCTGAGGTGAAACTGGGGCTATGGTTCTCCTGTTTGTGCTAGCTGATCCCATCTGAGTGCCGCATCACCACTTCCAGAAATGAGTATGCATGAACTCTTCATGATCCATAGGACTCTAGGCAACATATTCTTGGTATCTACTGAGTTTTTATCACTAATGTTAATGAAGAAATAGATTCTTTGGAGCTGTAAACATCATCAAAATATTCACAGAGTTAATGGGAACAGTTGATTGCAATACACATATACCAGGCCCAAAGTGAGTTCTTGTCCACTTGTCAGGCAAATTGACTTCTTCATAAAATGGCAAAATATTATCTGGCTTATGATTTCTGAAATTTGATAAGAAAATTATGATGGTGCTAGCTGGAATATTTATTAAGAGACTTGTTGTCAGTGTGTTACCTACATTATATCATTTAATTATTACAATCATCCCATTAGGTACATTTTTCTACTATGCCCATTTTGGAGCTGAAGAAAGAGTCTTCGATTAAGCAATTTGCCCACATTCTCACAAATAGAAAGTTGTGTTACAGGAACATAAATACAGGTTTCTTTCACTCTGAAGCCTTTCTGTCTGACACAGCAGATTATTATCCCAAAGACAAAGCTTATGCTTTCCAATAATTTATTCTGAGCATCTATTATGTTCTCAGCATTATTCTCTGTGCCATGGGAGATACAGTGCCCTGGCAATGTTTGACTTTGCCCTCAAATGTTTACAGTCTTAATAGACAAGGCAAATAAATACAAGTAAAACAATTAGCAAATAATTCAAAAGGCAATAATTAAGTGATAATAAAATAAAAACAAGTGACAGCATAATATCACATACAGAGTTTATATTTGAAGTCAAAAACATGGGTTTAAGCAAAGTTCTGTCACATGTCCATATGACTTTAGGCAAATTACTTAACTTGAATCTCGTTCTCTCTCTCTCTCTCTCAGGGATTTGTCTGTCTTTACTGGACTCATATCTGAGATATGAGAAGTTTGTGTGTAAAGCAAAAGGAACTATTTCACCCAATGTCTCTTCCAAATGCTGAGGCACATGCAGCACTGCTTGGATTCACCTCTGAGAGTTGACAACATTAAGACAAACCTGGAGCCAAGTGTACCTCTCTACTAGGAGGGTTCTAGTACCCACAAAGAGGCAGAGAAATAAAAGGCCTGATGCCTGGTGAAGTAGCTACAGAGCCACTGGGGAGAGCAACAGTGGGACCCAGGAAGCAGGTAAGAGACAGTGGGACCCAGCAGAGCGGGGGCAGAGCAGAGGTAGCACTTGGAAAGACACTATCAGAAACATACTAAACTTTGTGGGACTGGGGCAAGAGAAAAAATGAAATCAAGGTAACATACATCTAAATAATTAACATTTATAAGTAGAACTACTAGACTGCCAAATAAAATATGTTCTATCCTCCTGTCTTCATAAGATTCTCAGCTTGACAGCACTGGAAGTGGTTGACTCGCCTCTGGCCAATAGCCTGCAGCTCACCCACTTTTTTTTCTACCCAGGCTCTGCCCAACATTGCAGGTGGCCTCTCAGATACAATGTGAACAACCTAGCCTAAGTGCCTAAGCTCTTTTATAGACCCCACAAACAACTGCCCTGGGCTATCACTCAGGCTTATCAGTGTGTTTTCCCACAGACGGTGGGATCTTCCCTCAGAGGGACAGAATTGGGCAGGTAAGAGCCGGCAGGAAGGTGCTGCTTCTATAGCTGGCAGAATCCTGCAGGGAAGGTAAGTTATGACTGCAAACAGTCTAACCATTTGCAGGAATCTTTCGAAAACTAAAAGAAAGGTAAGAAGTCCTCAAAGCTAAACATTATGACAGGGGTTATTACACCTTTCACATTTGGTATAGATATTTTTGAGGCAACAACACACACAGAGTGCCTCTCGCCCATAAAATAACTCCAGACAAGATACTGAACATGATGAATAAGCATTTGTTAAAAAAATGCATAAATAGACAGAAAAAAAGCATGTGCTTGATCCAAAAGCCATTTAAATCAGAAGGAATTTTTAAAATAAAATCAAAATAAATGAGTGAATAAATAAATATTCAAAAGAAAGTTGAGGTATTGTCATTATCACCATTGTATTGTGAGTGACCAAATAAGCAAGATCAAGTCAAGAAACAAAATACTTATGGTGCAAGTCATGAATTCAAACATAAAATTAAAATATAAAAATCTTACTAATTGTCCATGGAATGAGAGGTAAGTTCTTTGGGCAACGGGTTTTCCAGGTGATTGTATTCTGCCAGTGCAGGCAATGCCTAAGAAACAGCACTTACAAGTGACTCTTAAGAGTTTTACAACAATGAGGCAATTCACACTAAACAGCACGAGCTTTATTTTTTTCAATTTTGGTTATTTAGTTATTATTTCATAATTATAGACTTAACTCTGCAATCCAGCAAGATGTGAAGGGGAATAAGGAAAATATGGAACCCAAAGAATTGCAGCAAAAGCACAAAGATACAGGATATTGCCAGCCTATGGGGTGGAGGGGTGCTCTCTTGAGCTACAGAAGGTATGGCCCAGTGGTTAAGATAAAACACAAGTCAACTTTATTAGAGTTTTCCACAGTCAGCAATGGTAATCTTGCTGGTCTTGTCATTCCTGAACCCAAAGCACTCCATGGCTTCCATGATATTCATGCTCTTTTACCTTGCCAAAGACCACATGATTGCTATCCAACCACTCAGTCTTGGCAATGCAGTGAAAAACTAGGCACTGTTTGTGTTGGGTCTGGTATTCTCCATGGACAAGATTCCAGGACCTGCATGCTCAGGATGAAGTTCTCACCATCAGATTTCCCGTGGTAGAGTGACTTGCTGCCAGTGTCATTAGGGTGTTTGAAATATCCACCCTGGCAGACAAATCCTATAATAATTCTGTGAAAGCAGGAACCCTTACAAGCAAAGCTTTCCTCTCCAGTGCTCAGAGCACAAAAGTTTTCTGCTTTCTTTGAAACTTTGAAAACAGCTTGAAGAGACACAGACTAAAGGTTTACCATAAGGCCACAATGTACAAGCATGGTGGGATTGACCATAGCTGATGACATGCGGCTTCGAGCAGTGGTGGCATCTGCAATGTCAAACAGCATGAACTTTGTATAAATCATGTGACTATAAATGTTTTGGTTGTCAAGTTTATTAGAGCTACTAGTTTTTCCAATCCATAGTGGAAAGGAAGTTATATGAAATGTAATCAAGCTAAGCAATCCTTTCTTGTATCACATAAAACAAGATAAAATAAAGAAAATTTTGTCTTTTTTATGTTAAAAAATAAACCCAGATTGTCTATCTCAAAAACTTGTTCTACCTTATCCTTGGAAGAATTCATGTGAAAAGACCTCTGGGAAAATTGATGACGGAAAACTTACACATTTTTAACACATTGCTCTCTTAACTAAGAGTTACTCCTTGGCAGCCTCAGAGTCTATAAGCAGATATCCTTTTCTTCTATATCAATTTGAGATATAATTTTATTGAGATTCCAACTCACTAGGATTTAAAATGAGACACTTAAGGAAACCAACAGATTCTTTCATGTCCCCAAATTACCTATCTGAAACATTATTTGCCATCAAGGACACTGACTCTGGGAAGTCATGGAGAAGGCTGGCCATTAGGTGATGTTCTCAGCAAGAAGATCACATGGGAGTAATTCCCTGACCCTCCTCTTCATGTTCAAAATAAACCAGCCATCGTTTCATCCTATGTGATCTTCCCAATATAAGCACTGCTAGAAATCCTGGCTTAACCATCCTGAATAAATTTAGCCTATGCAGCCATTCATTGTGTTAAATTCCTTTGCTTCCCTTTGCCTACCACATGTTTACCTTCACTGTGTGTTTTCTATTCAATATCAAAATGTTACTGAATTCATAACAGGTGCTGGTTGACCAAGAGCTTTTTCCATTTTTCTTCTCCCAGTGCCTCCAAAATCAAATGGTTTAAAAATATGTTGTTTCTATCAGTTACCACTAGATGGAGGTACAAATTTTGAAGTGCTACGTAAATGTTACTCATGCATTTCCTGAAAGGTAATGGTACAAAGTCACACATATTATTGTGTTCTTACAGGGCTATACATCCTACTGCCTTGTATAATGCTGAATCCACATACTATTTTAACTCATATTAAGGAAAATATACATATATATTATATATATAATATACCTGTATATGAATAATGGCAAGTCTAAAACTTGTGCATATATATATATACACATTGAAAGATTGAAAGGTCGTTAATAATGAGGTAACTGCTTCTCTGGCATGGTCATAGATAGAGAAAATTCATGGCATATTATTTTATTTGGAACACATTCAGTACTTGACAAAATAGAATAATGTTCGTTGAAATTAGACTGAAGTAAGGGATGTATCTAGGGGACAGTAGACAATAGGTTGAGAACCCCCATGTCTCCTTTCTGCTGCTGTGGGCTTCACATAGGCCTCATGTTTTCTCTGCACCACCCCCCCCAACACCAAGTCACTCCTTATAAAAATCTGCTTTCAAAATGCATCTGGCAGTCTTATTCACATTGAAATATAAATGATTAACATTGTGCTGTGTGCTACCCCATACAGGGAAATTGTTTTTAAATAGGGCCTATAATATTCTCTTGATCCCTGAAATTACTCATAAAGGAGGAACACCAGCCCATACAGAAATGCAGGAAGATTCTGATTTTCTTTTTCTTTACAGTGACATTTGGTACAATGCAGAAAGATGTCTCTAGGCGTGTGATGACTTGGAGAAGCGTAGTTAGCTGCATAATTTCTCAGCCTGGGGTGGCAGCTAGCAAGAGGGAAACTGCATTGACTGCAGCCCGTCAAGAAGAGAACCAGATGAGTCCTTGAGACCTGGGCATTCTGCTCCATGCAGGGAAAAACTAAAGCAAGGTGGGGACTGTGAACTGATAAAATGAGAAATGCAAACAAAAGGAAGACTGATATCTTTTACAGATCTGTGGGGGAATCTTAACTATCCTCCAAGTCTTCGACTATAAAGAAATCAAAATTCACATTATGAGGAATTGGAATTTTAAAAATGGGGCATTACCTAAAGGAGTCCTCAGTATTCATTCTACCTTCAAATATTTGGACTGATTAATTTGTTTTCCTTCTAATCTACGCTACCAATTTAGGAAATGTTACAAAATATCTAGAAAGAGAATTTCTAGAAGTTGCTTTCATTGCAGCAAATAAAAAATGGCAATCTTGGCAAGTTTGCCTCATAAAAATGTATAGCACTTTGATTCTGTACAGGAATGCCTTTTAATATAAATAGATGTCTGCTAATAACTCTGATTAGAAACACTTTGGAGAGAAGAAAATGGGAAGGATGGATCCCATTGACCTTTTTTCCATTTGTTGGGAAAATGCAAATGCCTATTCAGAGTTCAAGCCAGCATCAGTCTTTAATTGCCATGCAATTGTTCTTTAATATGGTTTATTATTGCTTTATAAACTATTGACAGTTTATTCGACAATAGGTTTTTGCCTTCTCTCTTATAGCAAATGTCTCATAAAACAAACAAGCATCTTTGAGACAAATAAGTTAATTACCTTTAACCTGAGACATTTACGTCCATGTGAGCATTAGTGTAATTGGTCAAATGAAAAGATGTGGGTTTATGGAAGCACTGAAAATAGCATGTTGATATATATAGTTTATATATATTCATAAGTTTTCCCAGGGGAAAAAAGCCAACTTAGTGAACTTTTCTACGACACCTGTATTTTATTCATTCACTTATTAAACAAAATTTGAGTAAGCATCTGCAAAAGGAAGGTTTTGTCAGAGTCCTCCCAGAGATTAGAGTCAAGCGTGGTAGATAACCCAAGGATAATGTATAAAAATTTACTTATAATATGGATGAGTACAATAAAGGAAACAGCATATTATGAGAAATTATAATAGGAAACTGGTTTAGTTGGGAGGAGCCACTCAAGGCATCTATGAGAAAGTGGCTTTTGAAGTAAAAATTCTAAAATGACCAGGAATTAGCTAGACAAACAAATCATGGGAACAGAGTCTTGAGCAGAAAGAATAGAACGTCAGAGGGTTCCAAGACAATAACGAGCTTGTCATACTGATAAAATAAAACTTTGCTCACTGAGAAAATGATGCCTCCTCTCCTTTTGGACTCTGACATGTAACATTGGGTTCCTGTTTCAGTAGGGTCCAAACAGAAAACTGATGTCATAAGGATGGTTTCAAATTTATAAACAAGTCAGCAGATTCTAGGAAAACACACACACACACACACAAATGTAGTTAACCTGGGGTTAGCAACCACAGAGCTATTACTATCTTTAGACCAAAGAGAACAATGGAAAAGTGTATAATACAACCTGACAGTGGAGCATCATGTAGAAAAGGCCACCTTGAGTAGAGCAATAACTTTCAGTCTACTGACATAGAGCTAGCTTCACAGTTAGAGAGTCCCACTCTCCTCCCTACCTCTCATTTTCTGCTGAGGCACTTCACTGAAAACCCCACCAGAAGCCAGAGGGAAGAGCCTCTCATAGTAGTCAATACAGCTCAGCCTCCCCAGGTGGCTAACGGAAAAGGTAGAAAGGGATACAGTTGAATCTGGAGGAGCAAATATAAATGCCTGGCACAGTTTGCCATTTCCACAATGAAGAAGGGGTGCCAGGAAGGCGGGTGGCCTTAAGATCAACCATATGCTCATGAAGCAGAAGAAAACTAGCAGCTTTCCATCTTAGCTTCCATTATTTTAACGAGTTTCCTCATCTCTATTATTTCTTTGCCCCCTTGGGTGATTCTACTTCTTATTAGCAAGATTGCTTTCATATTAGCTTCCAATCACACCACATGAGGATACAGAGACCTGATATAACTCTACTTCTCTGCAGGAGTCTCTACACCCTGTTTGCATACTCCTCCAAATTTATGCCTCTAGTATGGTTGCGAATATTCTCACCCATGATGTAGCATGAAATTCTCAGTCTACAAGGTGCATGAGATTTACCTGGTGAGCTTGTTGAAAGGCAAAACCTTGAACCCACCCCTCAGAAATTCTGAATCAGTTGGTCTGGCCTATAACCCTGGAATCTCTATTTAAAACAAGCATGATCTGTGATTCTCATGCATGTGCTTGAAGGAACACATGTTGAGAAACTCTTGGTATAGTTGCTCCACTAAAGACAGCATATTACTGATGATGCATTTCAGAAAAAAAATTAATGTATACAACAATATTTAAGAAAATAGAAATTTTGGTAAAAGCTATATGATGCCAAAAATAGAAACAGAACTATGCAGTGATTTGCTTAATTCACAAGTAAAACTAAAAGTGAATGGAGTTACTACAATAAATATTCAGTTGTTAGTGATGTGAACTGCAAAGGTTTTACATTTTCCTATGATCAATCAGTGAATAATGGTTCATGGTACTTTGGCTTTATATTTCTCTAAGAACTGACCCCCAGGGTCACCTAATTTTAATTTCTAATTGACACATAATAACCTTTGGAATCAACCTAAGTGTCCAACAATAGATGAATGAATAAAGAAAATGTAGTATAAATATATAATGGAATAGTAATCAGCCACTAAAAACAAAATTCTTTTATTTGCAACAACAAGTATGAATCTAGAGGTTACTATGTTAAGTGAAATAAACCAGACACAGAAAAACAAATACTTCATGATCTCACTCATATATGAATCTTAAAAAGTTGATCTCTTAGAAGGAATGATGAGAACAGTGATCATGTAATGATTTTCATACCAACATTTCAAGTCACTGGGGGAGTTTATACCTTAAAGGAAACTTGTAAATTGTTTTGTATTGTTAAATATTTTTTAATGTGAAAGGGAATTCTCTGCAGGATATATCAGCTTTTTTATTTATTTATATTTATAAGGTTTTCATATAGAGAAAAAGTCAATAAACTTTTTCTGTAAATGGAAAGATAGTAAATAGTTTAGGTTTTGCTGGACATAAAATGGTCTCCGCCAAAATTGATCCTGCTATTATAATGTGAAAGGAGCTATAGACAACACAAAAGCAAATTAATTTGTTTCAATAAGACTTTCTTTGTGGTCACCAAATTTATAATTTTATATCATTTTCACAGGTCATGAAAGATTCTTCCTTAATTTTTTTCAACCATTTAAAAAGATGAAAAACATTCTTTCTTCATAGGTTGTGTAAAAAATAGATGCTGGGTTATAATTTGTTGGCTCCTAATTTTAGACAATCTTGGGGGTTATGGTAATTAGAACACATAGAATTTATTTTTTCTTATTCCTAGACATAAAGCATGAAAAATATTAGGTCCTCAAGCAATCCATGATACCTATCTATAATTCCCAACTGGGTCTTAAAGGAAAGATAAGGAAAAAGACAAATCACAAAGACCTGTGATTGAGTCCCAGCTGGTTGTTTCACCTCCACAAACTGTGTCACCTTGGGCAAATTACTTCTCTGTAGGCCTCACTTCCTTCACCTATTGAAGAGGTTGATTATCCCCACTTCACAATGTTACTATGATAATTTTTTTAAAAAGTTAATAATATAAGTATTCACCACTGTGTCTGGTACCTTAAAAATGCCTCTTAAAGATGAACCTCTTTCTCTTTGGTTAAAATAAAAATAATTTACTGATTATAATCAAATCCTGGTATTCACTTAACTGTAGTTCTCAACCTTGGCAGAATATGAGAACTTCCAGGAAGAGTTATAAACTTTTGATGATAGAGCAACAATCCTAACCAAGTAAATCAGTATCTCTTGATGGATGGGACCCAAGACTCAGTATTTTTAAAGCTTCCCAGTGTGCACCCAAGGTTGAAGGCCTTCACCTTTCACCTTGCTATTTCTTAAACAAAAAAAATGAAACATCAATGCTTCTGTTGTCATCATGTAAATGTTGGAGACATTGGTAAGCAGTTTACTTGGTCATTTATCTCTCTCTCTCAAATAGACTTCTCTTCTGCTCCACTACCTGCCCCGCCACCACTCTTGACATCCCACTGCAAGTTGTTTGGGTTATTCTTTATCACTGAGCTCCTACAGTTCCCTATCTCCTCCAATTTTTTCTTATCCTTCCCTCTAACCCCACTTCATCATCACACAGACAGCCAAGGAGGACCTGGCTGGAAAAGCTTGTAGCACGAGCACATGTATCAACTGGAAAGGGAAGGAGAGACTGAGGACATGACCATATCTCTGTGGATACCTAGGAAAGAAATCAAAATTGCTGAAATTGGACCCTCCATCATGAGCAGCCAGAGAGGCAATAGTAATGCCAAGTCTATACAGGATTGCTAAATGACAGGAAGACACCAAAGGTCAACTGGAGTGGCCACATTAGAGGATTCCACTCCAGGTGACTGTAGTAGTCTCAGACAGTAAAGGATCGGAGTTACAGCAAACAGCACAGTACAGAGATGTGATTTAGTGGCCAGTAATGTATATTTTAATCATATTTTTAATTTAACTTTTATATTTTTCATAACTTCACATTCGATACATTTTTCAAATATTAGCATTTGAAAAGCATGAAGCAAGGAGATTGTTAATTCTGTTAAATATATTTTCACTTTTTTTTTTTTTTTTTTACAAAATGCCAGGGTTGCAATATCACGCCCCCCAACACACACACACACACACACACACACACACATACATACAGTTCTGGCATTTTTCCCAGCATTGTAATCACCGCTTCTCGCATCTCCTGATGCGTATGAAGTTTTAGAGGATCTCTTTCTGGCCACCCTCACTGCAGATGAAGCACCATGACCTAGAACTCTCTCTCAATGGGCACTGGTGTTCCAACCAAACTGGCTCAGCTAAACCTTTCCTACCTCACTCGCCAAGCCTTCATGCACATTCCGAAGGTTAACAGTATCCTCTCTTCCAAGGGCTGCCAACAATTAGGTAAGGCAAAGACTGAGAAGATAAACCATATTTGATTGACACCAAATCAATAAATCTTGAATTGGCTGGCTCTTAAGGGGAGATGAAGAAATGGACTCTGTGTTAAATGTAAAATCAGCAGTGGCAGAGCACTGTCGTGAAATAAAAGTTAATATTATCTCAGATTCCTGACAACCATATGACACGTCATGATTTTTAATATTAGATAAAATCTGGGCACCTGTCATGTACTTAAAGCAAGCCACTTTTTTTCTTCTTTAAAATTTTCTTCTAAGACAAATGCATTAACTACAGAGAACAACCTCTCATTTCTTTTTCCCTTCTGCCTCCCCCATCCTGTCTCTCATAGCTCACTACTTTCTCTATTTCCCATTTTTTTTACATTTCTAAGAAAATTGGCAAAACCTTGTTTTTAATAATCCACAGAATTAAAAAAATTATAGTTGGGTATATATCTAGTCACAATAAGCTAAATAACAAATTCAAAATAAATAGCAGTTTCCTTTTGCTCACTTGGAAGCTAAGAATGATTGTGTAAAGGAAACATTTGAGTAGGAATTCACTGCCTGCTGCTGAAAGCCAGGCTTGCTGTAAACATGTACACAATTTAACAAATGAAGATATATTTGTCCAAACATGACCTCTACAGGGGTCTCACAATTCTGCTGTTCCCATTTCATTTCCTTGAGAAGTAAAAGTTACTTTAAAACCTATAGACAGATCCTCATCTTAAGAACACTGCTTGATTTCTGCTCTCCATACTCCACAGAAATATTGAAGACCTAAACTGATTATGAAAACCTCAGTTACCATATTTCTAAATATATTGCATTATTAACAGATGTCACCTGGAAAATAGTTCAAACATTTGTGGTCTCCTTATTTTTAAGTTGCTATCAAGCTTAATATATGCCTACTGATGCTAAATCTGCAGATATAAGCAAAACCTCCACAAAAGCTTAAAACAACTATTTGAAACAACCACAAAAATATGGAAACTTTGTAAATAAAACTTTTGTGAGATAAAAAAAAATACAAAAATCTGCTCCCTCACCCCAGAACCCAGGGAAATGCTATTCATGAAAAAGGAAAGAAAATACTTCCTCACTTTACCCTTGTCAGGGAGACAAAATTTTACCTCTACCCTCCTAGGGTTTTAGACAGAACCTAATAATTAAATTGACATAAGTCAGATTAACCAGAGAAAAGCATAGAAATTTAATATAAATTTTATGTAATACGGGAGCCCTAATAAGGAAAAGAAGACCCAAAAATTGACAAAACCTAAAAGCTAATATATTAGGTTGAAAACAGAGAGGCAATTGTGGAAAAGTAACTAAATTCTGTGGGGAAGCTAAAAGATGACAAGAATTATTTTGACAAGGTCTGTTTGCACAAAATTCTCTGGGCTATGACTCCCCACTGAAGAATGTTTACCTCCTCATGGTGTAAGGGAACTTTCACAAGGGAGTTTTTAATCTCCTGTTTTCAGAAAAGGGGAGATTAGGACGCCTCTCATGCATTTGCTGTTTTTCAAGTGCATTTAGATCAAAGTTACCTTTACGCCAAAGTGGCATATTTCGGGGTGGCATATTTTGCCACACTTACCCTTGTTCCCTCAGTCGGGTGGTATTGAGAAATGTGTAACATGTGTCCAGATTTTCAATATGCACTATTCCACTTACCGCAGCTACTCTGGGAGAGCCTGAGGGAACACATCAGCAGATGAGTCACAGCTGTGAGCTGCCTGGCCTATGCCAGCATGTAACAGGCTGTCTCACAGGGACAGGAGTGAACTGTGGAGGTCCTGGAGGCTCCCCAGCTTCCCACAAAACACCAAACATTTCAGATTCAGAACTCAAAGACCTGTGCCCCATCAGGGGCTAGGGAATCCGTATTCCCAAAATAACAATAGAAGCTGATAAAAACCAAAGTTAATGGACAATAAAGATACTTCCTCATACATGCACAAACATTGCTAATTTCATGGCTCCCAAAAGGGAGACTTAAAAAACTGCAAATTCCAGTGTTTTCGACAACAAGTAGTGGAAAACAAAAATCACCACACTCATGTCCTACTATCTTATTAGAGGAAGAGAGGAAAAGTTGAAGTCTGTATATCATTCATCTGAATATCAATGTGGAAAGAAAACTGCCTTTTTAAGTCTTCTACTAGCAAATTTTATCAGAAAGTTTGTACCTGGTCTAGGAAAGTAGCCATTTTGACTTATGATAACCTCATAATGTTACACTAGGAAAGATGGCCAAGCAGCGAACAGGCCTACCTTCTCACCTAGTACAATCATCTGTCTGCACACTTCTTTGAGAGCATGGAGCAACGCATGCTCTTCTATAGCAGTAGGGGATGGTATTTAAAAATATATAAGCTCCAAATGGATAAATTAAAGAGCAAATATTGAGATTTCAAATTACTTGCCCAATATCATAGTATCAGAATAAGACTCAAACCAAAGCTGCATGTTGCTAAAGCTCATTCTCTTATTCTCTATAACTTGCTGTATCACATCTATACATCCCACCTGAAGTGACTGCAAGTGAAAAAACACTAGAAGAGTATTTTTTTTTCTAAATAGAAGGGAAAAGTTAGATGTTTCATTGTGGGTTGAACCAGAAACTAAATTACATTAACCTTTATAAAGCAGAATTTTCACTGGACTTACTATTTAAACAGCTTTAAATCTTGGTCCATAGTGTTCAAGATCACAACAATAACAAATATTAAATAATAAATGTCAGACTTTATTACTACCATAAAATTAAATTAGAAATTAATTTTTAAGTGCTTATATAACATTTAGAAACAAATATAAACTTCTATTACTCAGATTAATTAGGATATTACAATGAAAACAATAACACATTTAAACCTAAAGACTTGCATAGTATTATAAGTTTCCTATAACAAACTGGCTAAGGTCTTAATCAGAGGTAATATAAAATCCTAAATGTATTTATTACATAATAAGAAATATTAAAATTGGTCAAATCTTCAACTCAGTGAGTCAAAATAAAATTAACAAAATAAACCTAGAAAGAAATAGAAATACTTAAAGCAAAACCAGAAATCAATGAAAATACAGAAAAACACTAGAGAAGATTAATAAAACAAAAAGTTGGTTCTTTAAAACTATTAATATTAATATAGATATTACTAGTAAAATGAGTAATGTTACAAATAATATATAGTTTAAAAACTAGGACTTACCAACAGAGTAAAGATTTTAAAACAGAATAACACAAAAATATTATATAAATAAATTGACAACCCAGATAAAATTAAATATACATAAGAGATTTTTAAAATTGACTTAGAATTTAAAATAAAAATAAAATAACAATTATTAATTAAATATAATTAATAGCTAAAACCCCATTTCCCCAGCCCATTACAAAATGATTCACCAACACCCCTATGTCCCCCTGACACACACAAACACACACACATATACACACATAACTCTTCAAAAAGCTCAGGTCACATAATTTCAAGAAAACCTTTAACAAATCTAAATCTCTAAAAACAGATAAATTTATACAATGCAAATTGTTTCAAAGACTAAAAAACAAAGGTATCCAACTCATTCTATAATGAATTTATAATCCAAAATCAAAATTATGCAAAGAAATACAATAAACACACCAGACCCAGTTTTTGAAATAGCAGCTAAATTCCTAAATAAGAGCAAATCAAATTTATCAGAGCAAAAAATAACAATGCCCCATCATCAAACATTGCCAGTACCAGAAATGGAAATATGATTCACTCATTCAGTAGAAAAACTGTTAGCAAATGAGATAGTAAAGAATTTCCTTAAACTGACAAAGGGCATAAACCTCAAACCCACATTTAACGGCAAATAAATATTATTTATTTAAGCTAGAAGGGGAACAAAGCATGTGTGTCTGTTATACATTCTACATTTTATGTTTAAAGTGTTTCTTCATAAAATTACAACCAAGTACAGGTTTTGAAGAAAGAGAGAAGGGAGGGAAGCAGGGAGGAAAGGAGGATGGAAAGAAGAAA
Organism: Homo sapiens; assembly: GCF_000001405.40. Classification (NCBI taxonomy): domain Eukaryota; kingdom Metazoa; phylum Chordata; class Mammalia; order Primates; family Hominidae; genus Homo; species Homo sapiens. The sequence continues at coordinate 56,739,378 of NC_000002.12, read as the reverse complement.
GAAATGGAAGGGAAGGGGAGGGAAGGGGAGGTGAGGGGAGGGAGAAAGAGGGCATAAGGGGAGGGCAGAGGAAGGAAAGAAATACCTCACTATTTATTATATACCGTTTCTGAAGAATCCTATTAATATTAACAAAAGATTGGACACATGCAAGGACACTGGGAAAAAGGAGAGTAAAAAATAAGATTGTACCACCGTTCACCTAACATTGACTAAGGAGGGGAAAGTCTGAACCTGGCACACTCCTGTGCCTGCCATACGAGATGTTAGTTATAAAAGGATGGAAATAGTTTTAATCACATTTTGTTGTTTTATTAAATGAATTAGTCTTAAAACAAATCATCCCTGGTGACCTAAAGAATTTCTTATTACTAAATTTGCTTCCCAAATACCCTGATATGTATAGACATTGCCCTAGAGCGTAAATGTAAATATCTATTACACAAGGAATGCTCACTGCCTTTTGTAAATCCTTCTGTTAGGCTAAGTTAGATGTTAGTTTCCTCCAACTTTGTTTTGCTTCTGTCATTCTCCCTAAATGTGGCCATACTGTGTGCCCTGGCAAAACTAAATTTCTCAGACAGTAAAACTTAGAAGGAGATTCTCTAATGTGTTTTTCCATATCGCCAGTTTCTGTCAAAAGGCTAGTTTGCCCCCTAGCAACTATCTTGATACTTTTTTAAATACCAATAACACCTACTTGAAAGAAAGTTACCTAGCATTGTTTAATGAGATCCTTTAAATTTTTGAGACATGCTTAAACACATTGAAACTGTTTGTGTGTCTTGTAATTCAGCAGTCTCTATACTTTTGCCTCCATATGTCATGGTGTAATTTATTCCTATTCTGAAAAACTTTTACAACTCCCATGGTTTTCATTTTGGTTTTATTATCTTTTTCTTGATATCTTCTGTGTGTTTGAGAAGAAAAGACATGAAGCTATGGTCCCTAAGGTTATTGATCAATCTAGCAATGAAGAGAATTCTTGTTTCTCTAATTTTATGCTCTTCTCACTTTTGAGTTCTCATAGCAATCATTGATAAGTGTAAACTGCCACCCAGAAAATTGCTAGAAATATCTCGGGAGCTGTTGGACTGCAGGAGTGAGAACTCATTTTAAGATTTAGTACACCCAAAGGAATAGGCAGTGTCTCTGTGGGGAAGAACCCCATACCATGATTCCTCTTTTTTTAATCTTTTGGAAGGTATGGCAGAAGTTGGCTATAAAACTCCAAGTGACTTTCTAAATAAATACTAGTGACAGAAAAGGCTATTACCTTGCTTATTCCCATGTTTGAAACTATGTAATACCGATTCATCATCCCACTTCTCTCCAGAGTAGTTTCTTTCTCAGAAAAGTAAGGTCCAAATGTTCAAATAAGTAAACCAGTCATATGGGAATAAGCGATCACAAACAGAAGTCTTTTCTGTGTCTAGGAGAGGGAATGTACTAACAGCTCTCAGTCATCTTGAAGGTGAGTTAATTCATGTAAAGATCCACTACCATGAAAACATTTACATGAAGAATAGCCCAAGTTCAATAATAACATAGCAAAGATATCTCAGGAACACAGAATGGGTTTGCAAGTTTTCAATACAACAGTTACTTATTTCTCTGGAAGCATTTAGAAAAAAGGAGGAAAGAGAGAGCGAAAGATTCATTTCTATTATATCGTCAACTTCTGCTGTGCCACCAACCAGATCTCGTAACTATGTCAATGTTATGATCTCTCTTAAGGAACCCGTACTTGTAAATTCCTGCACTTTTACCCTCCCCCATCCATTGGAGTCCCTCCACAGAATCTATTACCTGAATCACATACTATTGACCAGGGTATTTTGCATACGGATATTTGTAACACATGTATTTGCTGTGCACTGTCATATGCCTTTAGCTACTTATGGGTTTAGCTTAAATGGGGGCTATAGTGCATCATGTAAATTAGTCCAGGGACAAAGTCTATAGAACACAGAATTGTCATTTCATGATTGTGTTAAGAATATAGCATATCAAACTTGCATAGAAAGTAAAATTAAGAGTTATATCTTGAATAAGGTTTAAATTGAGGATCTCGCAGAAACAGGGATTCACTGTATCTTGTGGGAAAGATGTTAAGGAAAAATGAATAAACACTACTTAATAAGAGAACAAATTGACAACTTTCTATGACCATTAAATTCCTGTCTATGACACTTCTTATAAAGTTTCAACCTAGACAAGGTATGGACCATAGTAGAGAAGGAGCCATGTTTGTAGACTGATGCAGATTGAAATGGCCATTTTTGAAAATGGCTAGCAATTGCTGGGTCACAATACCTCACTCAGTCCTAAGTCCCCACTATGGCTGTCAAATAGTTCTGATTTAGCAGTCCCTTATTAGGCATATCCTGGAAATCGAGATAAAATATTAAAATTCATCATTATATATTACAAAATTTAGAAGAACTTCAAATATGCAAGTTCTAGGAGAATGTGCTTAACTATATAACAACAATATGTGTGCTATAATCATATTTAAGTATTTACATTATCCAAATTTGTCTAAAACCAAAAAATGCATTAGTTTATATCCATATCTCCTCTTGTAAAGGGTAGAAAATAGCTTATATTTTTTAGAAACATGCTTTGTAATTTGATTTGTTAACTGTTTACTTCAGTCTGGCTAACTTTGTTAGACACTAGACAGATGCAAATATACAAGCAACTTTATAATTGAATAAGGTAAGTGACATTAACAAAAGTATAAAAGGATATATTGTATAGGTAGTAAAGTGGATGAAATTGTTCATTCTTGAAGAGTTGGGCAGGTCAAGAAACTAAAAATGGAAGGGCAAAACATAAGTAAAGAATGACACACAAACTAAAAAGCCCAGAATAGGGTTGGGAGTGTTGATTTCTGGAATTAGCAGGAGTCCAAGGAGTGACTGGGAAATAATATAAGATGAAGCTGGAGAGAGAGGATGGGACTGTATTATTCGTGGAGCTCCTAATCCCTAAACTGAAAATCTTATGCTTAACTCAGGGGCAATGAAGAGTCAATGATGGTTTGTAAACACAGAGAGCTGTCATTTTAAGCCATAAGGATAATAATAATAGTTTCAGTGTTACCTATTGTAATAATGACAGGCATATCTCAGAGATATCATAGGTTCAGCCACAGATCACCAAAATGAAGCAAATATCCCAACAAAGCAAGTATCACAATAAAGAAAATATCATAATGGAGTCACATGTTTTTTTTGTTTCCTAGTGCATATGTTATGTTTGCACTATACATTAGTCTACTAAGTGTGCAATGGCATTATGTCTAAAAAACACTGGACATACTTTCATGAAAAAATACTTTATTGCTAAAAAAATAGCAATCTTCTGAGGCTTCAACAAGTTATAATCTTTTTGGCTGGTGGAGGCTCTTCCTTCAGTTTGGATGGCTGCCAACTGATCAAGGTGATGGTTGCCGAAAGTTAGAGTGGCTGTGGCAATTTCTTAATACAAGACAACAATAAAGTTTGCCGCATTGATTGACTCTTCCTTTCCTGAAAGATTTCTCTGTAGCATGTGATGCTGTTTAATAGCATTTTATCCATGGTAGAACTGGTTCGAAATTGGAGTTAGTCCTCTGAAATCCTGCTGCTGCTTTATCAACTAAGTTTATATAATATTCATAATATTTGTTGCTATTTCAACAATGTTCACAGCATCTTCACCAGATGTAGATTCCATCTTAAAATACCATTTTCTTTACTCATCCTGAGGTTCCAGAAACTCAATCACTTCTTTGGGCCTCACTTCTAATTCTAGATCCCTTGCCATTTCTACTACATCTTCAGTTACTTCCTCCACTAAAGTTTTAAACCCCTGAAAGTCATCTACGAGGGTTGAAATCATCTTCTTCCAAACTCTTGTTAATTTTTATATTTTGACCTCCTCTCATGAACCACTAATGTTTTTAATGGCATCTATAATTGTGAATCCTTTCCAGAAGGTTTTCAGTTTACATTGCCCAGATCTGTCAGAGGGATCACTATCTAAGGCAGCTATAGCCTCATGAAATATATTTCTCAAATTATAAGACTTGAAAGTCGAAAATACTTCCTGATTCATGGGCTACAAAATGAATGTTGCATTAGCAGGCATGAAAACAACATTAACTTCCTTGTACATCTCCATCAGAGCTCTGAGATAACTAGGTGTATTGTCAAGCAATAATATGTTGAAAGGAGTCTTTTTTTTCAAAGCAGTAGATCTCAACAGTGGGCTTAAAATTTTTAGTAAAACTTGATTTAGACAAATGTGCTGTCATCCAGCTTTGTTTTTCCATTTATAAAGCATAAGAAAAGCAGATTTACCATAAATCTTAAGGGCTGTATGATTTTTGGAATGGTAAATGAAAATTGGCTTCAACTTAATGTCACCAGCTGCATTAGCTCCTAACAAGAGAGGCAGCCTGTCCTTTGATGCTTTGAAGTCAGACACTGACTTCTCCTCTTTACCTATGAAAGTCCTAGATGGATTATTTTTCAACTACAAGACTGTTTCATCTACACTGAAAATTGTTGTTTAGTATAGCAACCATCATCAGTAATCTTGAGGCCTAGCTTTTGGCCTATATTGGCTTTAGACATGCCTTCCTTAGTAAGCTTAAGTATTTCTAGTTTATATATATATATTTTATTATACTTTAAGTTCTAGGGTACATGTGCACAATGTGCAGGTTTGTTACATATGTATACATGTGCCATGTTGGTGTGCTTCACCCATTAACTCGTCATTTACATTAGGTATATCTCCTAACACTATCCCTCCCCCCTACCCCCACCCCACAACAGGCCCCGGTGTGTGATGTTCCCCTTCCTGTGTCCAAGTATTCTCATTGTTCAATTCCCACCTATGAGTTTAGAATGGCAATCATTAAAAAGTCAGGAAACAACATGTGCTGGGGAGGATGTGGAGAAATAGGAACACTTTTACACTGTTGGTGGGACTGTAAACTAGTTCAACCATTGTGGAAGACAGTGTGGTGATTCCTTAGGGATCTAGAACTAGAAATACCATTTGACCCAGCCATCCCATTACTGGGTATATACTCAAAGGAATATAAATCATGCTGCTATAAAGACACATGCACACGTATGTTTACTGCAGCACTGCTCACAATAGCAAAGACTTGGAACCAACCCAAATGTCCAACAATGATAGACTGGATTAAGAAAATTATTTCTAGTTTTTGATTTAAAGTGAGAGACCTGTGACTCTTACTGAACCACATGAAGGCCACTGTAGGGTCTATTAATTGGCCTAATTTGAATATTGTATCTCAGGGAATAAGGAGGCCAGAGCAGAGGGAAAATGATGGGAAAACGGCCAGTCAGTGCAGTGTTCAGCACATATATAACATTTATTGATTAAGTTCACCATCTTATATGGGTGCAATTTGCAGTGCCCCCAAACAACTGGAATAGTAAAATCAAAGATTACTGATCACAAATCACCATCGTGGATATATTAATAATAAAAAGATTGAAATATTGTGATAATTACCAAAACATGACACAGAGACACAAAGTGAGCACCTGCTATGGGAAAAATGGTGCTGATAGACTTGCTCAACACAGAGTTGCCATAAGCCTTCAATTTGGAAAAAACACATCTGCAAAGTATGATAAAGTGCAGCACAATAAAACAGTGTTTCTGTACACAGATAATGTATCGTTGGTATAAATCTATGAAAAAGCATTAAATCTTAAAGAAGCTTATAATCTTTTCAAGGTTTAAGTACACCCATTTTATATGACCACAACCCATTTATTCTTTTTCCTCCCTATACACAGGTAAGCATGCTTGTAAAACAGCATGGGTTAGAGATGAGCTGAAAAAATTATTCAGTCCTCAAGCAAATGGTTAACTTCAGTAGGACATATTGGTAAGGCCAGATGAACTAAAAAGTAAGCTCAAGATGAGTAATTAGTATTAATTAGTGTCAATTGCTGTTTTGTTCCTGAAAACAGCTCATGCTGAGGAAGCAATGGTACGGCAGAGACTAAACGTGCCAGGAGCTTTCTTGAATTTTACCAGTCTTTAATTTTTTAAAAATTGAACATCAATTTATTTTATTCAAGATGATTGACTGGGGGAAAGACAGCTTTGCTTAATGAGATAATGCTGCTTTGTGTAGTTGGCTTTTGTGTAGTTGTCTGAATTTGGAAGGGACTGTTCTCACTTGGCTCTGTTTCCCGACATGAAATGAGCCTTGAAGATTAACCAGCCATGTGTTGTATGCACCCCCAATATCATATGTTGTCTTGTACTTACTGTCAACAGGAATCTCTTTTTTTTTAATCTACTCATAGCATTTGCCTCACATTTATATTGAAATTTTAACATTACAGAGCCAGAAAACTGCAGTAATTTATTTTGAAACAAGGTTCACTATGTTTGCAAAATTTTCTACCAGTCAGTTGAATACGTCTCTGTGCAATCCTGTCACAGCTAACGCATTGGACAGCATTTCACACCCAAAATAATATCTCATTATCCCTGGAGCAGAGTTGAAAAACAGCATGAAATTCAGGAATGTGCCACAGGCCAATAGAAAACTTTCAGGCTATTTTTTTCATTTTTCTAATTTAATATGATGAAATTATAGCGACATCATCAACTCACCTTGGATTTAAAGAAAAAAGGCATATGCATTTAAAACAGTGTTAGGATGTTATTATTATTATTGCTATTATTACTATAATAATTATTAAAGTCTTTGCCTTTGATTTTCACAAAAATCAAATAATCCCACCAAAATCAGCCTGTTTTGTAAATTACTCAATAAATGCTTAATTTTAGAGATTTCTATATAGTCATTCTGCTTGTATACCTCCTTCAATGCACTTATAAAGAGTTTTACTTTAATTAGAATGTGACTATATTCTCTGTCTCCTGGGATCTGACAATTTTAGTCTCAAAATGATCACTGCAATGTGAATTGAGGTATGTGCATCAGCTTGCTATGCCAAACATGACTTCTGTTGTTTCATGGTTGCTGGCTATAATTGTGTTAATTTAATTTAAATCCCTACCCCAAACTCTCTTCATGGCTTCTCAAACAGAATTTAGTTAAATCATTCATTTAAATATTTTTATAGGTTTTTTTTTTGGACAATGCACTAAGTTTTCAAAAATGTATCTGAATAAGGAGCTGTGTGTGTCTGGTTTTTATGTGCTTATGTAAACATTTACAGTCTGAAAAAATGTACAATTTACTCTCAATTGTCAGTCTCCATGGATTTAGTAAGCCAGACTGTATTCAGCTTGCAAAAATTAACTTTAAATGATTATTTTAGACTCAGGTGTTTGAAATTCTGGATGTGGTTCCTGCCACCACCCAAACCCCCTTCAAGTATAGCTTAAATTTATGGTTGGGGGAAAAGGTTCTGGGAATTTTAGGGTCTGAGGTCATTACCAGGACCCTGAAAGCTTCTGAGAGGTCCATTTTGTGAATGTTCTGGTGGGAGAGTGGAAACTTAAAAGGATGTGAGGGCCTTTGCAGGCTGATCCCATGGCTTCATATATGTAAATTTATGGGGCAATGGATCCAGTGCACCAATAACAGCAGAAGTATGGTCCTGGCAGAAGAGATGTAGGAAGCCAGGCATTTGAGTGTGCAGTGGGGTATTCATGTCCAACAGTTGGAGCTCCTTGGAAGTGTTGGCAGGCTTTGTGTATTAGTCAACAGAAAATGTAATTTTTTTACTTACCTTCCCATCAAAACATTCTGTTTTTCCACCATTACAGGCACTTAACTCTCAAATATAGTCATATTTTGATGTTAGCCTAAGCAATTTACATCTGAAAATGTAAACCAACATCAATTTTAACTCTTCTTGAATCATCTTTAATTTTGAATTGTCCTTATACTTTCTTTCTTTCTCATGGTGAAATGATATTGCCTCATTTTTATATAATATTTTGTTTCCTTAAAGCATCCCATATTCAACCAGGTTCTACTGAGTGTATATTAGTTTCCTGGCTTCACAGCAGCTTTTGAAAATATAAAGATGAATAAATTCCTGCCTTTGCCCTCAAAGTCTTTTTTAAATGTTAGTGTGAGATACCGGAGTATAAAGAAATAATTATAATTCAGACTAATATATGTAATAATTGAATTCACAAGTTAGTAACAATAACTGTAGCTATATTTATTAATACCTTACTGTATAACAAGCACTCTTCTTTTTATTAATTCATTATCAAATTGACAATGACACGTGATAATTGTACTTATGAGGTACAGTGTGATTTTTCAATACATGCATATATTGTATAATGATTAAATGGGAGTAATTATCAAAGTCATCACTTTAAACATTTATCATTTCTTTGTAGTAACAATCTTAAAAAATCTTCTCTTCTAGCTATAGTGAAATATACACTACATTGTTATTTGCTATTGTCTCCCTCCTGTGTAATATAACACCAAACTTATTCTTTCCATCTAACTGTAACTTTGTACTCCTTGATCGACTTCTCTGGAACACCCTCGTACCCGCCCCCACCCCCAGCCTCTCATAACCACTATTGTACTGTAATTTTATAAAATCAACATTTTAAGATTCCACATATCAATGAGATCATGCAGAGTTTGTCTTTCTGTGCCTGGCTTATTTCACTTAACATAATGTCCCCCAGCTTCATCCATGTTGCTATAAATGACAGGCTCTCATTCTGTTTTATGATACAATAGTATTCCACTGTATGAGTGGAATATTTTTATCTGTTCATCTGTAGATGGACTTTTAGGTTGATTCCATACCTTGGTTAGTATGAATAGTACTGCAATAAACACAGGGGCTCAGATGCCTCTTCAACATACTGATTTCATTTCCTTTGGATATATACTCATTAATGGGATTGCTGAGTCATATGGTAGTTTTTTTTAATATCCAGATAATTAGTCAATGAGGAGGCATTATTATTATTATCTCAAGTATGAAGTCTTACTTGAGGCACAGAGAAATAAAACAGCTTGTTTAAGGTACCATAGCTACAAAAATGTGGTGCTAGGATTTGATCCTAGGCTGTCTGACTCCAGAGCATATCCTATTAATCACCAACATATATAGTACCTCAATACAGAAGAGGGATTGATGCATTACTTCCCAGAGCATGTGACACCTGCAGAGAGTTTTGAAAGATGAATAAAAGTTACCAAGGTTAATGGTGATGTGAAACAAAGGGACTGGAGAAAAGTGTCTCTGGAAGAGTGAGCAGCCTGTGAAAAGGCACAGAAACAGGATAGAATCTTGAAAGTACATGTAGTTCAATAACTCTAAATCTAAAAGTATGAGGAAGGAAATAGTAAAAGTTGTCACTAGAAACCTGTAGAGTCTTACATGCCATTTGGGGAGCTTAGACTTAAGATTAAGGGCTGGGAAGACAGTGAGGTTTGTATGGAGTTGAGTGAAATGCTTGCATTTGCATTTTAGAAAAATTACTGTGGCTGTAATATAGGGAATAAATGGGAGTGTAGGAAGAGCTAAGACAAGAAAATAGTAAGAAGCCTGCTGCACTATCCAGCCAAGAGATGATTGGGACCTTGTTGAGCATGAGTGCAGTGATTATAGAGGGAAGGGTAAGATGCAAGAAAAATCTCATAGGAAGACTAACAACAGAATTGGAATGTGATATGAGAGTGAGAGAGAAGCAGACTAGACTGATTTTAGGAGTCTACCTGAATGACTTTGCTGATGTGGTGCAAATGGAAATAATTAACTGCAGGCAAAATCACTTTCACTGAAGCCAGAAGTTGGAGGTCACTTTTGCAAATGCAACAAAAATAATGAACTGTTTTAAGTTCTTCTGAAAGTCAATTCAAATGCAACTTTTCTGACATAGTTATCTAATAGCTAGAAACTGTTACAAAACTGCAAAGGAAAAATACATCACCGTTGTGCCAAAGTAACTCCTCTTACATTGCATTAGTCATCCTTATATAATGTTTTTTTCCCTCCCTTATAAAGGCTTACACTAAACAACATTGACTCCTAGTTTCTTTATCCACAAAATAAAGACATAGTGTCTATAAGAGCACAATCATCTATAATACCACAATACTGCAGAGTTTTACAACCTTGGTGCTAGAAGTGATTCCTTTTCCTGTCTGTAGAAGCCCAGATTCTCCTCAGCTAATAGCCAGTTTCAAATGAACACCTAAAATGGTCACATCAGCTTCCAAGTACCCCAGCTATGGAGGTTTGTGGAATACAACCTAAAGATGAGTACACTAGGAAACTAAAGAATTCTCTGTGGGATTCTGTTAAATGCCTTTAGATTGTAGGCAAAAGTTCATTTTGCTTCTGAAAAATATCTAGAAGTAATGTTTACAAATCCTGAGAATAATCAATCATAAGACAACTTACTCATCACCTTATTCAGAGACATGAGAAGGAATGATTACTTGTTTTATTGATTTTGGGGGGTGTGGACTCAGACTGGAGACAGGACATTTAATTAGCATGATCTTGTAATAATCCAAGTAAAAATAAGTGGTCAAAATGGGTGAGGGGAGAGAAGGAGGAGGGAGTGACAAATTAACAAACACCAAAGCAGTAGTCCCATTCACATTGTATTTAAAGGATGAGTACACATCTTTCCCCTTCCCAACAAATTTCTAATCTGAATGCTTTCCCAAGTTTCTAATGCATCAATATGTTAAATATAAGCCTACTCCACCAACTTAAAAGTTAGAGAACCTCCAAAGGTATCAGACTTAAGATGAAGAATTAGTTTAATCAAGGAATAATTCAAATAATGGTTCTCAGTACAGTGATGAGTATACGATAGGTATTTATAGCTACAAAATCAAACCAACAGCCATACAGTGGCTCTGTTTCAGATGCAAGCCTAGTGATTTGTGTTTGCATGTGTGTGTACACATATATAGATATAGATATATATGTGTGTGTATATATATCTTCTTATATATACATGCAACTATATGCACATAGACACGAGTGGTCTTTATCCAATTGTGTTTTCAAACAACATATTTTTTTTCTAAGGGACTAAACTGACCCTATAGGAAAACTTACTCTAGTATATTTATTAATCATAGACTGGGTAGTTCTGCTTGAAGACTCTGTCCCTGCCATGAGCAGGAAGCAAGGAATATATTCCAAAACACTCTTCCGCACAGCCTCTATCTAATAAAATACTTGGGTTAAGAAAAGTAAACCCTTCTGGATATGAATGGATATTAATAACCATTAATATTGAATGCAGGGTTTGCAATTCTTTTTTCCATTCTGTAGAATATTTACTCTGTTGGTTTCTTTTGCTCCACAGAAGCCCTTCAGTTTAATTAGCTTCCATTTGCCAATTTTTGTTTTTGTTGCAGTTGCTTTTGGAGTCATTATGAAATCTTTGCCACGTGCTGTCCAAAATGGTATTTCCTAGGTTCTCTTCCAGGGTTTTTATAGTTTTAGGTTTTACAGTTAAGTCTTTGATATATCTTGAGTTGATTTTTGTATATAGTAAAAGGAAGTGGTCTGGTTTCAGTCTTCTGCATATGACTAGCCAGTTATCCCAGCACCATTTATTGAATAGGGAATCCTTTCCCCATTGCTTGTTTTTCTCAATTTTGTTGAAGATTAGATGATTTTATACTTGCAACATTATTTCTGAGCCTGGTATTCTATTTCAATGGTTTATGTATCTGTTTTTGTACCAATGCCATGCTGTTTGGGTTACTGTAGCTTTGTAGTATACTTTTAAGATCCAGAATATATAAGGAACCTAAGCAAATTTACAAGAAAAAAACAAGCAAACCCATTAAAAAGTGAACAAAAAGCAGGAATAGACACTTTTCAAAGAAGGCATACACAAAGCCAAAAAGCATAAGACAAAATGCTCAACATTATAATCATTAGAAAAATGCAAATCAAAATCACAATGAGATATCATCTCACAGCAGCCAGAATGGCTATTATTAAAAAGTCAAAACATATTAGATGCTGGTGAGACTGTAGAAAAAAAAAAAGGAACACTTACACAACACTGGTGGGAATGTAAGTTATTTCAGCCACTGTGGAAAGCAGATTGGTGATTTCTCATAGAACTTAAAACAGAATTACCATTCGACCCAGCAATCCCATAACTAAGTATATATCCAAATGCATATAAATCATTCTACCATAAAGATACAAGCACACATATGTTCATTGAAGCAATATTCACAATAGCAGAAACATGGAGTCACCCTAAATGCCCATCAACAGCAGACTGGATTTTTAAAAAATGTGGTGCATATACACAATGGAATACTATGCAGCCATAAAAAAGAACGACATCATGTCCTTCACAGCAACACAGATGCAGCTAGAGGCCATTATCCTAAGCAAACTACGAATAACACAGGAACACAAAACAAAAAACCACATGTTCTCACTTAGAAGTGGGAACTAAAATTTTTAATACATATGGACACAAAGAAGGGTACAACAGACACTAGGACCTACTTGAGAGTGGTGGCTGGGAAGAGAGTGAGGTTGGAAAAACTACCTACCAGGTAGTATGCTTATTACCTGGGTAACAAAATAATCTATATACCAAACCCCTGCAACACACAATTTACCTATATAACAAACCTACACATGTACCCCTGAACCTAAAATAAAAGTTAAAAAAAGTTAACTCTTGCCAGAACTTCCAACACTATGTTGAATAGGAGTGGTGAGAGAGGGCATACCTGTCTTGTGCCAGTTTTCAAAGGGAACACTACCAGTTTTTTTCCCATTCAGTATGATATTGGTTGTGGGTTTGTCATAGATAGCTCTTACTATTTTCAGATACATCCCATCAATCCCTAATTTATTGAGAGTTTTTAGCATGAAGTGCTGTTGAATTTTGTCAAAGGCCTTTTTTGCATCTATTGAGATAATCATGTGGTTCTTGTTTATGGTTCTGTTTATATGATGGATTACATTTATTGATTTATGTATGTTGAACCAACCTTGCATCCCAGGGATGAAGCCCACTTGATCATGGTGGATAGCTTTTTAATATGCTGCTGGATTCGGTTTACCAGTATTTTATTGAGGATTTTTGCATCGATGTTCATCAGGGATATTGATCTAAAATTATCTTTTTTTTGTTGTGTCTCTGCCAGGCTTTGGTATCAGGATGATGCTGGCCTCATAAAATGAGTTAGGGAGGATTCACTCTTTTTCTATTGATTGGAGTAGTTTCAGAAGGAATGGTACCAGCTCCTCCTTGTACCTCTGGTAGAATTTGGCTGTGAATCTGCCTGCTCCTGGACTTTTTTTGGTTGGTAGGCTATTAATTATTGCCTCAATTTCAGAGCCTGTTATTGGTCTATTCATGGATTCAACTTCTTCCTGGTTTAGTCTTGGGAGGGTGTATGTGTCCAGGAATTTATCCATTTCTTCTAGATTTTCTAGTTTATTTGCATAGAGGTGTTTTCATGCAGGAGAAAGAAATAAAGGCTATTCAGTTAGGAAAAGAGGAAGTCAAATTGTCCCTGTTTGCAGATGACATGATTGTATATTTAGAAAACCCCATTGTCTCTGCCCAAAGTCTCCTTAAGCTGATAAGCAACTTCAGCAAAGTCTCAGATACAAAATCAATGTACAAAAATCACAAGCATTCTTATACACAAATAACAGACAAACAGAGAGCCAAATCATGAGTGAACTCTCACTCACAATTGCTTCAAAGAGAATAAAATACCTAGGAACCCAACTTACAAGGGATGTGAAGGACCTCTTCAAGGAGAACTATAAACCACTGCTCAATGAAATAAAAGAGGACAGAAACAAAAGGAAGAACATTCCATGCTCATGGATAGGAAGAATCAACATTGTGAAAATGGCCATACTGCCCAAAGTAATTTATAGATTCAATGCCATCCCCATCAAGCTACCAATTATTTTCTTCACAGAATTGGAAAAAACCTACTTTAAAGTTCATATGGAACCAAAAAGAGCCCGTATTGCCAAGACAATCCTAAGCCAAAAGAACAAAGCTGGAGGCATCACGCTACCTGACTTCAAACTACACTACAAGGATACATTAACCAAAACAGCATGGTACTGGTACCAAAACAGAGATATAGAAAAATGGAACAGAACAGAGTCCTCAGAAATAATACCACACATCTACAGCCTTCTGATCTTTGACAAACCTGACAAAATGAAACAAAAACAAGAAATGGGGAAAGGATTCCCTATTTAATAAATGGTGCTGGGAAAACTGGCTAGCCTTATGTAGAAAGCTGAAACTGGATCCCTTCCTTATATCTTATACAAAAATTAATTCAAGATGGATTAAAGACTTAAATGTTAGACCTAAAGCCATAAAAACCCTAGAAGAAAACCTAGGCAATACCATTCAGGACATAGGCATGGGCAAGGATTTCATGTCTAAAACACCAAAAGCAATGGCAATAAAAGCCAAAATTGACAAATGGGATCTAATTAAACCAAAGAGCTTCTGCACAGCAAAAGAAACTACCATCAGAGTGAACAGGCAACCTACAGAATGGGAGAAAATTTTTACAATCTACCCATCTGACAAAGGGCTAATATCCAGAATCTACAATGAACTCAAACTTACAAGAAAAAAACAAACAACCCCATCAACAAGTGGGCAAAGGATATGAACAGACACTTCTCAAAAGAAGACATTTATGCAGACAACAGACACATGAAAAAATGCTCATCATCACTGGCCATCAGAGTAATGCAAATCAAAACCACAGTGAGATACCATCTCATACCAGTTAGAATGGCGATCATTAAAAAGTCAGGAAACAACAGGTGCTGGAGAGGATGTGGAGAAAGAGGAACACTTTTACAGTGTTGGTGGGACTGTAAACTAGTTCAACCATTGTGGAAGACAGTGTGGCGATTCCTCAAGGATCTAGAACTAGAAATACCATTTGACCCAGCCATCCCATTACTGGGTATATACCCAAAGGATTAAATCATACTGCTATAAAGACACATGCACATGTATGCTTATTGTGGCACTATTCACAATAGCAAAGACTTGAAACCAACCTAAATGTCCAACAATGATAGACTGGATTAAGAAAATGTGGCACATATACGCCATGGAATACTGTGCAGCCATAAAAAAGGACGAATTCTGCCAAGACCAGCTTAGCTGGGGAGACCCTAACCCAGCAGGGCTAGAGGAATTAAAGACACACACACAGAAATATAGAGGTGTGAAGTGGGAAATCAGGGGTCTGACCGCCTTCAGAGCTGAGGGCCCTGAACAGATATTTACCCACATATTTATTAACAGCAAACCAGTCATTAGCATTGTTTCTACAGATATTAAACTAACTAAAAGTATCCCTTATAGGAAACGAATGGATGGGCCAAATTAAAGGAATAGGTTGGGCTAGTTAACTGCAGCAGGAACACGCCCTTAAGGCACAGATCGCTCAAGCTATTTGTGGCTTAAGAATGCCTTTAAGCGGTTTTCCACCCTGGGTGGGCCATGTGTTCCTTGCCCTCATTCCTGTAAACCCACAACCTTCCAGCTTGGGCGTTAGGGCCATTATGAACATACTACAGTGCTGCAGAGATTTTGTTTATGGCCAGTCTTGGGGCCAGTTTATGGCCAGATTTTGGGGGGCTTGCTCCCAACATGTCCCCCTTCTCTGATTTGCAAATCGACAAAAGCAATGGCAGCTTTGTCACGGTGAGCTCCTTCTCGCAGGGGTTGGGATCCACATCTGCAGACTATACAAAGACAAAGAACATAGATTGAAAGAACAGTCATCATTGAAATCACAGAGCTTCCAAGTGCTTTTTTCCATTTTAATGGGTTACTACCTACTAATTTGTCTGCAGCTCCTTTAAGCACTCCAGTTCCTGGCATTAAGGTCAGGTGTGCCTGGGATGCTTTAAATATTTGTTCTTTTAATTTTGCTATATCCAAAAACAAGTTTGTAGAGTGTTCTAGATGCTTTTATATACTTTCCTAAATTTTGATCTTATTAAGAACATGTAAGAGTTTCCACAAATCCTTATGTTTAGCTCCTACAGTGGGCCATATCATTTGAGGTTGAGGTGCCACCATACCACTATGGTTCCAGACAATAGGAACTTTTGCCGTACTTCTTATCATTTCTACCATCTGACCATTTTTTTCAGATCATCTGAACATAGTGTGGCTGTGGCATGCAGACTGAGAGGTGCAATTCAAGCTAAACATCCTCTTAGGGGACCAATCAATAATGATTCCATAGGAATTTTTGTGCAGCATCTCTGCCTGTTCTGCAATGTAATCTTCCTAAACAAGTACGTTCATTTTTTCTAAGTGGGTCCAATCCTGTTTACAAATAGGTTTTTGAGGGCAGTATGTCTCAATTACAGGAGCAGATTTATTATGGTAAATACTGAGATCAGAAAGCATGTGTAACTGTGTCATAGAGTGATTGCATCCAGGCATTATTGCCAGCCAAGATTGATCAATATGCCCAATAAGTATAATTGTTCTCTGTGTCAGCCCTTGTTGAAGGAATACTCATGGCAGTGGTGATAACTGCTATTATAGCTACCATTAAATTACTCGTGACTGCTTGTCCCGCTTTCCTCAAGTTTTTTCCGCCATCTGTGACAGCTTCTTGATCTGTCCCCAGGTGGGTGGCTGTGTTCAACAGGTGTTGCTGAAAGTGTCTAGCACTAGATATTGCATTAGCAACTAGGCGATCAGCCATTTGATTCCCTTCAGTCAAAGGTCCTGGAAGAGGTGTATGAGCCCTAATGTGAGTGATGTAAAAAGGGTGCATTCTACTCCTAACTGCTGTTTGTAATTGGGTAAATAAAGTCATCAGTTGTTCATCTGTATGAAATCGTAACTGAGCATTTTCAATTAACTGTGTGGAATGAACCACTTATGAAGAATCAGAAATCACATTAATGGGCATATCAAAAGCAGTCAATACCTCAATTACAGCTACAAGCTCTGCTTTTTGAGCTGAAGTATAGGACATCTGGAAAACTTTATTTTTTGATCCAGAATAAGAAGCTTTACCATTATTAGACCCATCTGTAAAACAATGAAAACGCTTAGCAGGCTGCAGGTTATTTACCACAGGAATTGTAAATGCAAACCATTCACAGTCTTGCTCAGCTAAAGGGATAGTAAATAAACCGTCTTTTAAATCTATGACTATTAAAGGCCAATTTTTTGGAATTATAGCAGAAGGCAATCCTGGCTGTAATGCTCCCATAGATTCTATAACTGAATTCATGGCTCTTAAGTCAGTTAACATTCTCCATTTACCTGATTTTTTGTTAATTACGAAAACTGGAGAATTCCAAGGGGAAAATATTGGAGCTATGTGCCCATTTTTTAATTGTTCAGCTACTAATTTCTCTAAAGCTTCCAGTTTTTCTTTACTTAGCGGCCATTGTTCTATCCAAATTGGCTTATCTGTTAACCATTTTAAAGGTACAGGTTCTGCAGGCTTCACAATGGCAGCCATCAAAAATTATTTCCTAATCTTTGGCAGGAACTTTGTTTTGCCACTTGAAGTGGTTTTTCAAACCTTGCAAATTTTTTTCTAGTCCCATACCAGGGACATACTCCATTTCATGCATTGTATGTTCACTTTGAGGGCTATATAATTGTTCTGGAATTAGAATTTGTGCTCCCCATTGTTGTAACAAATCTCTTCCCCATAAATTTATAGGTACAGAAGTTATAATTGGTTGAACAGTCCCAGGTTGTCCATCGGGCCCTTCACAATGCAAAATATAACTACTTTGATATACTTCAGCGGCTTTGCCAACTCCAACTATATTAAATTGAGCAGGTTGAATTGGTCACGTGGACGGCCAGTGTTGTAAGAGAAATGATTGAAATATCTGCTCCTGTATCTAGCAAACCTTTAAATTTCTTTCCTTGAATAGTTGTTTCACACGTAGGACCTTTATCAGTAATTTGATTTACCCAATAAGCGGCTTTGCCTTGTTTATGTGTGCTTCCAAATCCTCTTGTTCATTTAATTTCACCTTTCCCCATTTCCACATACGGCACAATCAGGAGCTGTGCTATGCACTCTCCTGGCTCTGCTTTCCAGGGAACAGAAGTAGATATAACAATTTGAATTTCCCCATTGTAATCTAAATCAATGACTCCTGTATGTATTTGTACCCTTTTTAAACTTACACTAGACCTTCCTAAAGTAATCCTATTGTCCCTGCTGGCAAGGGTCCACAGACTCCTTTTGGAACCTTTTGTGGGGGTTCCCCAGGCAGAAGGCTCACAGCTTTTCTGCAGCATAAATCTACTGTGGCACTACTGGCTGTGGCAGGGGACAGACATTGTACAGGGGTGAGGGAATGACCTGAGCTGGAAATGCCCTGGTTTAGAACGGGGCCTAGGACCAGCCCCTCAGGGCATTTCCCTAAATCGGTTTCCCTTCTTTATCAAACTTAGAGTGACACTGACTAGCCCAGTGTTTTCCTTTTTTATATTTTGGACATATTTCTGGCTCAACAGTTTTCTTCTTTCCCCTATCTGGTGGCCTGACTTGCTGATTTTTTCTACATTCTTTTTTAGTATGACCATGCGTCCCACAGTTAAAAGAAGCTCCAGGAAATGGAGTATTTCCTTAATCCACTCTCAGTCCTGCCATTGCCTGTGCCAACAAAGTAGCTTTATGCAGATTACCTCCAATACCATCACAGACCTTGATATAATCAACTAAATATGCTTCCCCTCTGATAGGTCACAGAGCAGCCTGGCAATCGGAATTAGCATTGTCGAAAGCTAATAACTGCAACACTATATCCTGAGCAGCCGAATCTGCAATCATCTTTTTAAGAGACTCCTGTAACCGAGCTGTAAAATCAACATATGGTTCTCTTGGTCCCTGTTTTATAGCACTAAAGGAAGGGTATTGTTCCCCACATTAAGTGATTTTTTTCCCGAGCTCTAATGCACACTCCTCTAAGCTGTTCTATGGCATCATCCTGCATGACGAATTGCGCATCTAAACCAGCCCAGCCGCCAACCCCCAAAAGTTGGTCTGCAGTTATATTAATTTGAGGTTGGGCCCAGGCATTGCGAGCAGCCTGAATGGAAGCTTCATCTGCCCACCAAGTTTTAAACTGTAAGAACTGAGCAGGAGTTAGACAAGCTCGAGTAAGAGGGTCCCCGTCAGTAGGAATCATCTGACTAGAAACAGTAACATTCTTTAACAGTCCCATTACAAAAGGAGAACCTGGTCCATACTGATTTATAGCTTGTTTTAATTCTTTGAGTAATTTAAAAGGAAAAGGCTCAAATGTAGCTGTAATATTTTCCTGTTGATCTGGGGGGTGTATTCTAACAGGGAACTGCCAAGCCTCTAAATCACCCTCTTGTCTAGCTTGCTGAATTCCTGCCTGAATAGAACTAAGAGCGGTCGCTCGAGGCACTGCTCGAACAGTCACTGGGGCAACTACTTTTCACCCAGTGTCCTCCGGAAAAGAAAGATCTGGGGGGTCATTTTCTTCAAAATAATAAGGAGGGAGTGCATAAGAGTAGAGATGAACCTCTTCTTCCTTTGCCACTTTAGCTTTAGCTGGTAAATAAACATGCTCTGTAACGTCTTCTGTTACTTCACTATACTCTTGTTCCTCCTCATCACCAGTGTGAA
Source organism: Homo sapiens (assembly GCF_000001405.40). Lineage (NCBI taxonomy): Eukaryota > Metazoa > Chordata > Mammalia > Primates > Hominidae > Homo > Homo sapiens. The sequence goes on along the minus strand of NC_000002.12, from coordinate 56,719,703 downwards.
AAACTTCCAAGGTGAAATGAACCAGACCCCACACCTGTCCCATTGTTACCCTGACACTTCCTAGCTCCCCTTCTTACTCACCACGAGGATTGCTTTAAGAGTACTCGGGTGTCCTCCAGCTAGTTTTCCATTCCAACCATCGCTCCAGAAACACTTCGATCTGGATTCGAGCCCCCACGATGGACACAACTTGCCGAGACCAGCTCGGTCAGGGAGACCCTAACCCAGTGGCACTAGAGGAATTAAAGACACACACACAGAAATATAGAGGTGTGAAGTGGGAAATCAGGGGTCTCACAGCCTTTAGAGCTGAGAGCCCTGAACAGAGATTTACCCACATATTTATTAACAGCAAACCAGTCATTAGCATTGTTTCTATAGATATTAAATTAACTAAAAGTATCCCTTATGGGAAACAAATGGATGGGCCGAATTAAAGGAATAGGTTGGGCTGGTTAACTGCAGCAGGAGCATGTCCTTAAGGCACAGATTGCTCATGCTATTGTTTGTGGCTTAAGAATGCCTTTAAGTGGTTTTCCACCCTTAAAGCACCTTAAGGTGCTGGTACCCAAACATTTTTCTTGAGTGTGATTGTGAATTGGCATAATTAGAGAGATGATTCCCATGTTCTGATATCAGCCTAGACATAATCATTCTGTAAGTTTACATTTTGCACATTTAAGGTTACAAAACATTTAATGTACATTATTTCCTATGTTCTTTGAAGACAGAGAAGACAGTGCAGTATAGAAGGGGAAAAGCATTGAACAGCGCCATATGATACCCAGGGTTCACAAAATGTCATGTCATCACAGTAGAAATCTGGGTTTTTGGTAAAGTCTAGACCTGCTTTACAATCTGTAAATAAAGCATTCAGTAAAAGATAACCAAGCTCCCATGTAGTTCTAATATTCTGCTCTTCAAGATAAGACAGACATTACTTTCGTGGAGTGCATTTCATTGTTTCACACTAATAAAAGCAGAAGGCTCAGAGAGTTTAAGAGATGTGGCCAAAAGTGTATATCTATTAATAGCAAATGTCAACCTTAGCTTGATTCCAAGCATTTGCATAGAGCCTGCAGGAAGGTACAACCTATTCACGGAACAAGTAAGAACATCATCAGGCAGTGTCACTGGACCTTACATACGGTTGCCAGAATTAACTTCTAAAAATACAGGATGCCCAGTTAAAGACACATTTCAGATACACAGTGAATTGTTTAGTATGGCTCGGAATATGTGAGCCATATTATCTTTACATTATACTCTTCTTTGATTTTTACAATGCTTCAAAAAGTAAAAACTATTTATAGCTGGAAGTCATAAAAAATTGACCACTTGCCAGATTTGTCCCACAAACCATAATTTGCCGATCTTTAGACCATTCTCCTTACTGAAAAAGTTACTACGCCCACCTTTCTGTTTTTCTTTCTACCAGAAAGTCTATCTCCTCAGTGACCCCTGAGTTCACTTTACCTGGCTCTGATTATTCCACCCCAAGTCCTCAACTTGCTTCAACTTTTATTATATTTATTTGCATTTAGAAATACATAGAATAATCTTTTCATATAGTTTTTCCCATGAAAGGATTGAAGGCTTGTGCAATTAATTTTACCTGAGCAAGTCTTATCTCTCAAAAATCTGGTAATAAGTCACATGACAGCCCTCATTGTCTTCTATTCCACTTTTATAACTCCTCTAAATTTCTTAACACTTCCCCGTGAGAACATGACAAATATTTGCTAAGTAATGATTTGTCTTTATTTCACAATATAATGGAAAATTAGAAAAGAACAGAAAAACTAATGGAGACTTTTTTCTGTGCTTATGAGAATATACATATGTTTTTGATACACTCTATATAATCTATAATCTATGTGATACATAATTATTAGAATTACTGCCACATTAAAACAGAAAAAAAAAACCACCATAATCCGTTTGGGTCAATCCCTGAGTAATTTTTTTTTTTTTTTTTTTACCTAACAAATGCAGATAAAAATAAACGTAGATTAAAAAACATACTTTTATTTAATAATAAAATGTAACTTAAAATTAAAATCTACCTGAGTAGAATCCTAGAGTAGAAGAGAGAATTGGGGACAGAGGAGAGAACTAAGGACTATAAGGATAAAACCTACTTTTTTTTTACAAATGCAATAAATAATGTGGGTTAACAAGAGCATATAACATTCAGTATTTTAAAACTTGTATGTAAATCCTCTCCATCCATTAGCTATAACCAGAGTCAGCTAATTAAAATGTGATAATTGCTTTATAGGCATTACTTACTTCAACCTTATTTTTCCTCTCCTGGTATGAAGAAATGAACGAGGATACTAGGTACAATTGACTCTAGACCAATTTAGATGGTCCTACTGGCTGTCAGACAAATGTCATTGTATTTTAAACATCTATATCTTTGTGTTTTATGTTTGGACTTGTACTGGATGTAGTTTACTTTTAAGGCTCTTGAGACAGGTAGATTGTTGCACCATAATACAACTGTTCCATATTCATTCATCTGTTGATGAACGCTTAGGTTGCTCCCAAATGTTGGCTATTATCAACAGTGCTACAAAAACAAACAAACAAAAAAACACATGGGAGTGCAGATTTATCTTCAATATACTGAATTCCCATATTTCGGGTATATACCCAGCAGTGGGGTTGCTGGATCATATGGTAGTTATATTTTTAGTTTTCTGATGAACCTCTAAACTATTCGCCATAGAGGTTGACAATTCAGCTCATTTTCCCAAGGTCTGCTTATACATGCAACCCTCTTAACATTTCTTCCTTCCTGTGGAAAGATAGACCCACTTTCATTCAGGGATTTAATTTACTTTGAAAATCAATTTCATTTAACATGCAGCATGATCTCAATATTTAACAGCTGTGTTAACAGGAATTGGTATACTGAACAGTCCTGCTAAAGCTAGAAATCTGATGTCTTGTTTCTACAAAAAGTGAGAGAGTACAAAAATATACTGAGGTGTAAAACGTAATGAAGCTGAAAAGAAAAAGATTAAAAATCAATTAGCTGGCATGTAATGTCTGAGAGAATGACTTGCTGGAACAATATTTTGAATTTCTTTGGAAAAAAATCTTACTTCTTATTAGGTATAATCTAGAAGTAGAATGATAGAGAGAGACAGGAGAATACTTCAGTCCAACAGGGTAACACATTTGTCATGGCAGAAGGAAAAAACATAATGGGTAACAGTCATCTCTCAGTATCCAGGCAGGTTGGTTCCAGGACCAAAATCTGCAGATTTTCAAGTTCTTTCTATAAAATGGCCAAGAATTTTGCATATAACCTACACATATCCTTCTGTATACTTTAAAATCATCTTTTGATTACTTATAATACCTAAGGCAATGTAAATGCTCTGTAAATAGTTATGATAGTGTATTTTTAAATTTGTATTATTTTTATTATTGTTTTTTCCAAATATATTTGATTTGCAATTGGTTAAATACTTGGATGTGAAACTTGGATATGGAGAGTTAACTATATTACCAATCCCTGGATTATTTTCATTAACTGGTTTTTATTGCATGAATTATGATGCCAGAATTTGTACTAGTTACTAACAGACTAAAATACCCAGGACTTGGCAACCTCATTTGCTAAAAGTCAATCATGAGGACAGTGCTGGGTAGATCATGAATTCTGCAGGAAAGAGCAAAATGGCCTAATCAGCAGCATCTCTTCAGGCAGGGACCTAGCCCACTGCCACAATGTGACACAGGACACCACATTGACAGTCTGGGGCTATGCTGCCAAGGGAGAGTGACAAGTTGCTATTCGATTTCCACACGAGTAAGGCCACTTTCCAGTTCTTTTGCAAAGAGCTGACAGACCTCATTATTGCAACAGGCTGCCCATCCACAAAGAAAATTGATGTGCACAAGGAAATTGCTATCGTTTTATGTAGTTCTGCTGTAAACAGGGAATGCTGATTTCTGCAACATAGAGGTGAGGACAGGATTGTCAGAGGTTGTCAGGGCAGGTGAGACTGATCTTTATGTAGCGAATTCAGTAACTTTCTTTTATCTGAAGATTTCAAAAAAAAAGAAAGAAAGAAAAGAAAACCACCAAAATCACTTTCAGTTAATCCCTGAGTAAAATGCAAAATAGAACTTCAAAGGTAAGAGCTGTCTATTTATGTTGGGTGATACTTTATTTGGTATCTGAGAAAGGTGGTCAGCTGCCAAAAGGTTTTGTACCTCCCTGAAAGGTGTTATAAATCTCCCAACCTAAACAGTGGTTTACAGAATGCCTCTGGGATCTAAGTTAGCAGAACATCACCCGCTTTGTTGGAATTAATTGTCAATATCTTACATTGTGATTTACAGAGAAATGGCTGATTAAAGTAACTCCTGAAGTGCACACGATACAGTGAAACCAAGGAGGAAAGCAATGGGGAATGCTTTGTCAACTTGAAAATTTTATAGTTATAAAAAGTATGTTGGAATGAAAAAGAATAATAATGTCAAATGCACACAGAAGGCTGTTGGTTTGCATGGAATCTAAAATAGGGAAGCGAAATGGATGAATGGGGATTTATAAATATGGTTCTGCATTATCCAGGAAGAATGGTGTTCTGACTATAATCATTTGCTACTGATTCACTGGGTAGAAAAAGCTTCTAGTGGGAACAAGGTACTTCACTATGTTGGTTTTGCCCTGTGTTTCCTAGAGCACAAGTTATTTGATTAAAACCAAAAATCAAGCAAAAAAAAAAAAAGTTCATTATCTAGTAACTTTGGAAAACACCATATGCTAGGTATTCCACTTATGGACTGATAATGGCAATCAACATTTTATGGGTTTCAGGAATCTTTCTGACTTAGGAAAGTTAACTCTTTGTAGCCAAAAATTTTTCAGACTTATTTAATCGTGTAGGTACCCTGCCTCTGCCATGCCCAATAACTATTAGAGTTCTGTGGAAATGGTATCTGTGGCACATGTCACAGATTACAATATTCGTAATAAACCCACTCCGTTGCCATAATTCAATGCTTACCAAGCACCTCTGTGATTAGTAATGTGGTATTTGGCATGCTTCTCCCTATCTGCCAAGAAATGCCCACATAGCAGGCCAGTTTCAGATTTTAGGCTAGGTACATGTCCTACTCCGTCTCCAGGGCCTCACTAACACCATAGTAACCGCTGACATAGATTCTGGAAACAACGGCTGTGTTCCTGAATTGGAGTTCCTGATTTTTTTTTTTTTCGGATTTCCTCTGTCTCATCTCTGTTCAATCCTTTTGCTGTCCCCTTAGGAAAAACTGGGTACATTTAAAATGAGTTAAAGACAGAGTGAGAAATTTTATCAATTCATTTTAGTAGTTAAAACACACACACACACACACACACACACACACACACAGTCTATTCAGAGATTATTTATGGCAAAGGAGGAAAGGAACAGGAGAAACAATAAAACCCATAGATAGCCTGTTTTAAGTCTCTAGAGTTGATGATATGTTTTAGTACAGCACTTCTCAACTACACATCTCAATCCACAAGCAGCAGCTATGCCACAGCTAATTGTAACCAGTAATAAAAATACAAGCGTGTGTGAATAATAGCCTGATGGTTAGACTCACTGGAGTAGGAATACTTGTTTCTAAATGGCCAGACAGTAAAAGTTTCAGCCTTTGTGGGGCCAAATTAAAATCAATTATATTATGTTGGTACCTCTGTAACCATTTAAAATGTAATTAATTTTAAAATGTAAAATATATTATTTGCTCATGGCAATAAAAAACAAAAGCAAAAACAGACAGCTGGGTAAATTTATCCCACAGGCCTTAGTTTCTTCATCTGTAAAATAAAAATGAAAATAATACCCTCCTACCTGATTAGATAGTTGTGAAGATGGCCTTGGTAACATGGGTAAGGCACCAGAGTCCTGCCTGACAATGAGTGCTCAATGAATGCTTACTATGATTTTTTTAAATACAGCAATTCCTATTCATCCAAAAATTAACATACCCTGGCATGCACTCCAATAGGATCTTTAAATGATAAAGTCAGAGTGGAGGTTGTGTTTAATCTTCAGAAAACCTTAGGAATGTGATGAATATGTGAGCTTAATCTATCACGTGTGTTGCTCTACAAAAGCAGTAAGAGCGACTGACCTAGTAGATTAGGATAAGTGGCTTCTAATTATAGTCCTCTCCTACTTCTTATGAATGCAAGATGTCTAGTCACTTTGTGTCTCAGATTACTCACCCACAGAATAGAGTTGGCAATACTTTACCATTGAGGAAATATGCGAGTAAAGTAAGCTATGAAGCGTAAAATATTATGGAAAAGAATTGCCAGATTCCAGACCATAACATAAAATTTAACTTAATTTGGATATTTCTCTGCTTACCCCAGGAGAGCTGCTGAACTTTGTATTTGATCTGAGAAGGAAGTTCCAGGGAGCGAGATTGGAAATTGTCCATGATTGTGTTGTGAGCAAATCTTCAACTATGTATCTGTCTTTAGAATAGGCAGTAAAGCAAGAAAACCTCACTGAACATGCTGTTAGTTGTCTTGGAATTTTTAGAGTCTGAATACTGAACTGAGCCCAAATGTTTAAATGTTTATACCCCTTCCAACTTGAAATTTCTCTTTGTGTTGTTGTTGTTGTTTTTTGTTTGTTTGTTTTTTGTTTTTTGTTTTTTTTTTTTTTTTGAGACGGAGTCTTGCTCCATCGACCAGGCTAGAGTGCAGCGGCGCGATCTCGGCTCACTGCAAGCTCCCCGTCCCGGGTTCACGCCATTCTCCTGTCTCAGCCTCCCGAGTAGCTGGGACTACAGGCGCCCGCACCACGCCCAGCTAATTTTTTATATTTTTAGTAGAAACGGGGTTTCATCGTGATAGCCAGGATGGTCTCTATCTCCTGACCTCGTGATCAGCCCACCTCGGCCTCCCAAAGTGCTGGGATTACAGGCGTGAGCCACGACGCCTGGCTTAAAATTTCTTTAAAATGAGAATCAAAATCTATGAAAAAAAAAGATCCTGTAACATCATAGTGAAACAAGATCGAATGTCATTCATAGCTCTAAAACTTTAGAAATTCCTCAAAGAAAGCAATTGAGATAAGATTGACAGAAAAAAAGCAGAGGGAAAAAATAAGATCTAAAACAATGGAGTCCCAATAAAGTATGAGAGAAATTCCAGGCCTGGAGTCCACAAATCCATGAAGAAGAAGTCCCAATAACAAGGTGAAGAATTACATTCAGCACAGCTGAGTTCATTGGGCTCACTCTTCATCAACCTCCAGAGCAGATGAGAGAAGTATCTGCCCCCTGACTGATGCTCTGGAACTACTGCCTAAAAGCCTGGGGATAGTCTGTTCTCGTGGGGCACACAGTATGTACGGGCGCTGAAAGACGAGAGCAATGTCTAAACACATGGAAGGAAGAGAAAGACTGGTATCTTCTAAGGCTACAAATACTGTTCTCTGAAGCAGAAGTTCAGACATGGTAGAAAGACTAGGAACTAAAGAAGTAGCGCAATGGCCACAGGTAATATACAGCTTCTGGAGGGACCTTGGGCTCTTACACTAGGAAGAAAAATGAATCCCAGGAACACATGGGGCCCCATGCAACACTCATCCCCTCAATAAGCAGAAGCAGACCCTGTAAAAAGAGAAATATGAGAGAAAAGCTGAAACACAAAGAGATTACAGCCGGAACTTTCAAGGCCCATCAATTATGAGTTTCAGAAAATACAGACAAAATGGAAGAGAAGGAATAATAAAGAAGTAATAAGTTCAATTCCTAGAATTGAATAAAAACCCAAGTCTGATGATTGAATATAGGATTAGTACAAAAGAATCCAACTCCAAGGCACATCATTGTGAAGTTTCAGAAAATTAAATAGAAGAGAAAAAGTCAACAATTTCCCAGGAGAAAAAATAAAAATTTATCTACTGGCTCATAAGAATCAAATTGGCATCAGAACTTTTATCAGTAATATAGTCAACAGAAACCTACAAAATCACATCTTCAAAGTTTTGGAAAATAAAACTTAATTCTTGTATTCAAGTGTAAGAACAAAATAACATATTTGTAGATGCTTAAGGATTAGGATAATTTACTTAGACTTTTTGTGAGCAAATTAATAAAGAATACCCCAGCAAAATAAAAACAAAAAAACTCCAAAAAAGAACAGTATGAGGATAAAAAAAATGTTCAAAATGAAAAACTTGGCCTTGAAAAAAGAAAACCTGGGCAGGAAAGCTATAGCTAAGCCTAAAAGTTACTTTTGAGATGTATGTGAGAAAAAAAATGAAAATAAAATCACAAATGATTTCAATGTGAGAAAAGTAGTTGATGAACACAGATTTGGTTCTTAATGGTGATGCCTGGGGCCCTGTTCTTTTCCAGATTTTAGTCAGAATGCTAAGATTGCGTGAGTATACCTCATGTTGATCACAAAAATTCCCGCAATTTTCCAGATATTTTATGACAAATATAGTTAGGGCTAAATTAGTCCAACAGCATTTGCCTTGTAAATATTTTATAATTTTTAACTCTTTCCCCCTTTTTATTTGTGTCTCAAGACTTAGAACAAATGGTTTACTGTACTGTAAAGAATCCATGGTTTCATATAAGTACATGAAGAAATTTGAGTAATTAAGGAAGACTTCCTTTTATTTTCAGCAAATGAAATATATATATGGGAGAGGGGGTGTTATTATTGTGACTTGGTTTTGACATTTTTTCCTTATAATGATATTTTAAATTCTGATTATTAAAAGAAAGACATAAGCATTATAGAAAATTGAAAATGACAGAAAAGACTGAGGAAGAAAATTGAAATTACCCATAATCATACCACACAAAATAATTATTATGTAACATTTTTTGATCTTTTTATTGATATACCACATATAAATATATATATATATATACAAAATTAGAATCTGTGTATCCATACAATTTTAACTCCATCATTTTTCACTAAATATCATTATTTTTCCTTTTAAACTTTATCTAAAATTATTGTATGACTCCTAGTGTTCCATTTGTTTGTAGTCATTTATTGAACTAGATCTCTATTACAGAAAATTTTTATTTTCCTTATAAACAGCACTGCAGAAAGCACCCTTTCCTTTGTTCATCCTAAACAAATACCATTTACACTTCTCAAACTGCTCTTACCAAGTCCCCAAGGAGCTAGCCTGCTGCCATTGACACCTCCCAGCAACAACATACAAGGTGAAAACTTGTGCAGGGAGAATATCAAATGGTTCATTCTGAAATTGGAGATGCAATTACACAAGTTGTGAAAAGGAACCAATATACAGGCTTTGTTTATCAAAGTAATATTGATAATCAGATACTGGGAAAGCACCAGCAACTGTGATGAGTGGTTGAATAGCAGCATAGACAATTCTGAGTAATCCTTATAATGGAAACAAACTTTGAGGGAGTTAGGAAAGGAAGATGGAGGATAAGTCATCCAAACAGCAATCATTTAAGATGAAAAATCATTGATATTTTATTTGAGAATAGATAACATTTCTTTAGGCAATCAGAATGATTTCCTAAAATCAGGCTTCAAATAATACTAACATAAATTAGCATTGCCTGAGCTCACACAATTCTGGACATCATTATGGAAAATTGATCATAGTCAAGAAAGCTGGCCCAAGATGAAATCTGCCTCCAGGTGGAATGCATTGTAGATCACCAGCATGCAGATAGCCTAGAGCTACTGTATAACCAATGTTGACAAATGGCCATACTGCATTTTAATTGAAGCTATAGAAAGAAATTCATGTTCTAACAAATAGGGGCCTAAAGAAGTAGCCAGCACTGAAGACACTAATGACAAAGAAAGTAAAAGAGCAATCTCCAATGCACGCTGTAAATGAGAAAAAGTATGCTTTAATTATTTGAAGTCCACATTAGTTTATGACAGGTTTTCTCCAAAATGTATGTTGTTTGTTAGGTGTCTGGAGTATTTTATCCATTGAAGTTAAGTTGAAAACTGTGATAAAGTACCCATATCCAGATCTCAACTTGTACTCAACATACAAGTTACCTCAAGGTCAGTGTTGCATTTGGTGTGCTCATTATAGTAATAATTTCACCTTGATCTGTTAAGAGCACAATTGTCCCATCTCCTGACAAAGACTTTCTCCTTGAACTAACTTGAGTTGGGCTCCTCCGAGTCCTGTTTTTAATTAGTCATCAATGTTGGGCTCTTGTCTTTGGCTTGCTTAGTCCAGTTTTGGCAGGAATCTTACTTAATTCAGTTTAGAAAAAAATCCCCCACCCTTAGTATGTGATCGCCCACTATATCCAATTAACTTCCTCATTCCCCACCCTTGATATCTTACCACTCTGCACTGACTTCAGCAAGAATGCTCCTAGCTTTGATGTTTCCCCTTAGCAATTTTCCACCCACTGACTCCCACCGTTTCTTGGCTATAAACTTACCACTTATCCTTATATTAAGAGTTGAGTAGCATCTTTTCCTCTGCTACAAAACTTCCATTGTAGTTGCTCTCTTCTTGAATAAGTCTTTCTTATCATCTTTAAAGAGTGTCATGAATAATTTTTTGTTTAACACCCCCACCTTAATCCAGAGAAATCCCAAGTCCTTGTCCAAGCAATAGCCAGACCCATGTTCTCCTAAGTACTCTTTTCCTTTCCTTCTGAGGGCTCCAGAGGTTGGCCCACCTTCCTCCCTTTCCATGGATACTTTCAGTTTCTCCCACACGTGATTCCTTTTTTCCTAAATAATGAACTGATAAATGTTTAACAACAGGCTCTTCAGAGAAAAAAAAAGTATCCATGTATATATACATGTACATGAAATCCTTTACTGATATAAAGGATATGTAGCACACAATTTATAAACAATGATACAATTAAATAATATGTTATACAAGTCCACATAACTAGTTCATTCTCTTAGAATTTTGGTTGATTTTTGCCAAATTCTTCTGTCCGTAGCCAATTTACTAATGCAATTGACAAACAAGTGTAGTGCCAGCCTAAACGTTGGATGATATTTTCATTTACATCAACAAGTAACATAAAAGTGAAACAAAAAATATATATGTCAGAACATCACTCATTTGTCAGTGATGAGTGACTTTTTTGCTATAAAGATGAATAGCAAATAGTTTTTAAATCCTGCAATAATTTCTGAATGTTTGTACTATTCAAAATGTAACAGATAAAAAACAAAACACACTTTTAATTTTAAATGCATTATCAAGAGTTCAACATCACTTTCTGAAGTTTAGACTAGAAGTTGGCAAACCTTAACTCATGGGCCACATAGGCAGCCTCCTGTTTTGGTAAAAAAAAAAAAAATGGTTTTATTGATACATAGGTATAGAAAATTTTGCCAACTTCTGATCTAGACAATGAATAAAACAATAAATCAAGGCTCAATATGCAGCATTTGCAGATTCCTGTGATGTGATGATGTTCACAATGGCCAATTTCAAGTTATTAACCTGACTGGAGTTTGGAGGAGGTACATAATAGCACCCTATTATACATTTCCACCAAACACGTAAGAGAGACAGAAATCACCTTGATCATATAGGATATGTAGAATAAGGTAGTAGGATAACTACTACATTATGATGTGATGAGTTTTAGTATTTATTATATTTGTTTTAGTATAATTGATTTAATTATAAGTTAATATTAGTTCTTAAATGAAATGTAAATTAAATTAAATGGCAATTTGGGATACTAGGGCACCAGACAATATGGCCTCGTGGACAGGACATGAGCTGTAATAACATGTGGACCCTCATACTTGACTCATCGTTGTAATGAGGATTAAATTGGATAGGAATCTGAGTCAGCAGTATCATCTTCAAATACAAGAGGTGACACTGTGAAACAAAACAATTACTTAAGTTGTCTTTACTAGATATGCCTTTAACACTGAGATGTAGTCCCTAAAGAAGTTTCCTGATCTAAAAGTTAATATTGTGAGCTTCCTACTTAATATACATTCCTAACATAGGACCTTTGATATGTAAATTGCTCATCCTCCCTTTGAGGATCATTATGAATGATCATGCCAGAACCACCCATGTGCAGACATGCCACTTGTCAGGTCCTGCAAAGCCTCTCCGAGACAGGTAGGAGAATTCCGGACACATGGTGTTTGTCACAAACAAATGTTTTACCATTTAAATATGAGACTTAAACACTCCTGAATTAAGAACAGCAGGAAGTCAGTTACAAAGTGAGAAGTGGGAGGGATAACTCTAAAGAATGCATAAATGGTAATCATGGGGAGAATCACTAAGGGAAATATAAATATGTATTCATGCTAACCAATTCAAATGCTTATGTGAAGGATCTTCCCCGGTAATTGTGGCCTAAATTTAATGGAGGCAATGCTTTCTCTGAAAATATGCAAGAGTCACTTTTTTTATTCATCTGGATACTGTGAGAATTGTATGAAATATTAATATATAGTTATATCACCTCATTAAGTGTATGTCACATAGTATGGAGCTGAAAACTCATGGGCACCAAAAAAGGTAGCTCTCTCTAAAACACCCCCACTTCCAACTTCTTGATGCTTGAAGAAACATCAAATTAATTATTAGAGATAATATTTAATATCCATATATCCCTCAGAAATTTAGCATAAGTTGATATAGTAATTTGTAAAAGATGGATATAATCATAGAAATCGCTAACAAATTCATTGCACGCCTGGTATCTGACAGCCCTCAAATGAACTGATTTGTTTAATCATCAGAAAATCCTATGATTCAGTTAGTTTACTGTACTGAAGAATCAACTAAAGCAGAAAGGTAATGAACTTGCCCAGAGTACATAGCTGGTAAGCAATAGAGTCAGAATTTGATCCCAAACTGTCTCTCTCCAAACTCCCAAACTTAACCATATTTCATACAACCACGAGGAGAAGATCTCCAAGCACAAAATGATGCAAAAAAAAAATAGGGGAGCTAAGTAGTGGGGAAAAGCCTCTGGGCTTCCAAGACAAAGCCTCTCCACTTCTATTATTACTTTCACTATGTGGTTGGGTCTTCGTAGGTTCTTCTTAGTCTTCTTTGACCCTTTCAAACTAACCAGCTAGACTATACTAAGCCATTTCTAAGAAGGCTTCTTTAGTGAAGCCAAGATAATAAGTAAGTATTGTTTACTGCTGACATTTCTTCTGATCAGATCAGACCTGCCATAGCTACTATATTGTCCAGGTGCAGAAGCTCTGCAGTTCTGAAGAGACAGGAATGCATTTGGTGACTTAGTAATAATCAACAGTGCAAAAGCTACCCTCAGAGTGTAATTTGCTTGATTGTCCAGGCAATTCTCAACTGTATCTCCAGGAAATCATGGTGAGTCTTAGACTATGACCTTAGCTTGCTGGAGAAAAATTAAGCTTTGTGCTTTATGGAATTAATATGTAAAATGCCTTATTTATTCAAAAACATGATCCAATCAGATAAAAATATGTTTTGGAATAAGTGCTCACAATGAAAGTTGGCTGCTGTCATTTTTCAAAGGGCTGAGGAGTGAAATTATTAAATCTAAGGAAAATGCCTTATGAGTCTTTGATGCTGACTCTCAGATTTGAAAAACATACATGGAAAATGGAGAATATTATCAAAATGCTTCCCTCTGACAGAAAGAAGAAACAGTGTCACCTATCTGACAGAGAGCATTTTAAATTGATATTTCATGACCTCATTTTAAACAGCTTCTATTACCTTTCCGTGTTGGAGCCCTGACTTCTAACAATGCAGCTGCTACATTTATTTATGTCAACGTGACCCTGTGGCTGAGAGATGAGTTTATATGGCATATCAACTTAACATTTGCATCCCCAGACATGTTATTAATAGTGAGTTCAACATGAATCATGATCAAGATTTGATAAGAAAAGAAATGTAACTCATTCTAGGTAGACTTAGTTAGTGAATCACATTTATTCAAATTGTCCAGGCTTATATAGGGCAAAATTGGGAAAAAAAGAATAGCTCAAGGCTTTATTCTGCAGATCATACAGACAAATGTAATAAAAAATCAAACGGGTATAAGCATATCAATGACCAATTGACCATTTAGAAGTCACATGAAATTGTCACCTGAGCTCTCTGAATGAGGCCAAACAATATTGACAGTGTATCCTAATCCCAAATGCTTGGGTAAACAAATACGGAAAAAAGAGTCCCCAAAATTCTTAAACTATAAAATAAGCATAATATTGAAAACATTATACACACACATAAAATACTGAATGTTTCCCATGCTAGTACAAGAAATGCAAGAACCTATATATAAGGTTATTGATGATATAACTTACCTCAAAGAGAACTGGAAGAAGTTTTGTTAGCTTGGAATAGTCTGTAGATATATTTGCTTTGTTTAGCACCACAGGAGAGAATGTGAAGCCATTATAAGTGTCCAAACTGCTTAGAGAGTAAATGATGCTTTCCAAATATTTAAAGGGGTTGTCAGATTGATTCATGCATTTAAGCCATAGAGGTATAGGTGCTTGTTGAGTGAATTAATTAATTAAATTCAACTTACAGTACATATATTAATTGTCATGGAGTTTCAGAGCAGGAGGGGTGACAGAAGTGATCCCTCTACTCAGTAACATTATTGTAGAGCTCAGAGAAGAGATGAGGTACTTGAGATAGCCCCCTGTTTTGTGGCCCCACTTAGAAAGTACAGAAGCAAAGTCTACCTAACTTATTGCAATGTCCACCCAGTTTCTTTTGCATTACTGTAGCAGATGAGATTTTGAGGGATCATCTGCTCTGTTCTTTTATCTCAGAGGCTAACTGTAGCTATGATTTCAGCTCTACCACACAGCCACACATTAATTTAATAGAATATATTAGTGTAATGAAAAACACAATGGGCTGGTTTTATAACTTCTAATCGTCTTTTAAATTTTTTTACATGAAGCTCCCTTTTTATTTTATGTTAAAATTTGTGTTTGAATTATAAACATACAATTTGATTTAGGAGAAACCTCTTTTATTATATGAAGTGTTTTGAATTCCTGAAGAAAGGTGGGCCTCGTTAACAGAAATTATAATGAATTTTAAAGAAAGATCCATTTATATTTTAGGTCTATATGTTCCCAAAGCTGTTTCCTCTTCTTTTTCTTTACTTTTTCTCCATACAGTTGGCAGGAGATATTATTCTTATAAGAACCTAAATCAGGATGTTTAGGGGGAAGAAAACAGATTTCATCAATAATTATATAAATAAGGTAGGATTATGATTGATTTAAATTTAGGCCAGGAAGAGAGCAGGAACTAGATGTAGTGATTTATTTCTAAGAGCTGGTTCTAGGACCTTGAGTATCATCCAGGAAGCTCCATCTCCATCTCAAATCATTGCCTACATGATCGATTTGCTAGAAAGCTAAGTCTGTCACTCTCTGTGGAGTTAGCATTCAGGCTACCTAATTGTAGTTATTGTATCTTAGGTCCTTGCTGCTCTAAGTATGGTCACAAACCAACAATATTATCATCACCTGAGACTTGCTAGAAAATAAGAGTCCCTGGTCCCACCACATTTACTGAATCGGAATCTGCATTTTAACAAGATTCGCAGTTAATTTACAAAAACAATAAAGTTTGAGAAGCACTGCTTTATCCTAAATTATTGAGAGAAAACTGAATCCGTGTAAGACAAGTATTTATCATTTGTGCAGTTAACTGCATCTAAGAGGAAACCTGCTAAATAAACAACAATAAATGACAATAAATGCAACGTGGTATCTTGAATTGGCCCTGAACAGAAAAAGAATATTGTGGAAAAATTGAATAAAATCTTGGGACAATGCTAAGTTCTTAGTTTTGGTCAATGTAACATGGTTGTTTGAGATACTAACATTAAGAGAAGTATACTGAAGAGTGTAGGGGATGTCCGCACCACCTTTAGCATTCTTTTATAAATTTGAAATTTATAATCATTTCAAATTGAAAGTTTAAAAATATAGCTGTGTAGCAAATAACTACAAAAGTCTCAGTGGTGTACAACACATAACTTTTCTTGAACTCAGGGTTCAACTGATTTCAGTTGGGCCCAGCTTATGCCAGTTTGGCTCATTCAGGAGTCTGCGAACAGCTGCTAGGTAGTTATGGAGTTCTGTTGATAGCAGATTGACTCATTCACCTGTCTGGGGGGTGACTGTTGGCTTATCTAGAATGGCCTTGTCTCAGACAACAGGGACAGCATACAACTGTTCTTTATGTCTTTCATCATCGTTGCCATTTTATCATGGTCACAGCAGAGATCAATAATGGGCAAGTAAAAATACAGAGTTTGTTTCTATGCTAGGATTGTAATTATGGACCAAATGATGTTACAAAGCCTGCTGAATTCAAGGTATGGAAAATAGGCACTGTCTCTGTTTTCAGAGGAACTGCAAAATCGCATGGCAATGGATGTGGATGTATGGAAGTGTAAATAAAGGAAATGATCACTGCAATCTATCATATATGCTGACAATGTAGGAATTAACCATAGTGTCTTCAAATTAGCATATCAGATCATGTACGCATTATAACTCCAATCTCATCCTCTAGTGCTGATCAAAATGAATTCAATGTTAATATCCCTATCTTTATTTTACCCTCTAAGGTTATATTCAAATGAGAACTTACCTGATTTTATGATAATTGTTATATTATTATATACTTTCCTTCTTGAAAATAAAACTAAGAAGGAACTTGAACATAAAGCAAAAGCAAATAGAAGAGGTTGGATTCTATTTGAAAAATATAATTTTCTGTTCTCTGCTTGCATTTATTTCTTCTTAATCATACCTATGTAATTAAAAAAAAAGATCCAAGTCTACATTTATATTATTTTAAATCTAATTTATTGAAATTCAGAATGAGTATAAATTTTATTTTATTTTTAAATATAATTTCAGAAAGTAGTGGGACTCTCCTTTAAAAGAACTCCTGGAAGTTCCATCCACAAATTCCACACCCCCACCCTACACTTTGCCCTCATTTGTAATAAATAAATATGTATTTTTGTTTAGGTGTGTGATCTTCAGAATCAGTAAAATTCAACAGACATTTATAATTGGTCTCTTACAGTTATGTCCTGAGAACATAACTTTGCTCTATTAAAATTGACTTTCATTTAAATGAACTTAGCAAGAGTTGCTTTGAAAAAGAACAGAAAGTTAATTTTCAGAAACTGTCATGCCAAGTCCGTTGATATTATGTAGATAAACTTTGAAGTAGAGCATGAATGGGATAAAAAGCAAACTAACCAAATCCACCAAATTATTTATGAGTGTATCACTGTCATCTTTGCTGGAGTCCAAAAATACACTAGAGTGTGGAAATTCATTTTATTAAATGTGCCATGCGGTTAGCTCAAAGTTCCTATTTATGTCAGATGTGACCTTGCTACCTGGTAAGAATATCGCAAAGTTATATGATTTACTATAATGAATAATATATATATATATATATATACACAAAATACATATATATTTATACAGTATATAACTATACATAAACATCATATATACACACATATAATGCTACTCTTCCAGTACAGTGATGAATTCAGGGAAATTTCATAATTTTGATAGAGCAAAGTGGGATACTGTTTGTAATTCCTCCTTTCTTGGAAATTCAAAAGTTATATTCTGTAGGTATGTATTTCAGAAATGAACCTAAGTAATTCCCTTTTGCATCGGTAAAATTTCTGAGTACACATTGGCCCCCAAATGAAAACTATATAAAACACACAAACAAATGTTTGTACCCATAAAAAGAGGTTTGCACATAGAGAGGTATTAAAATTAGATGTATCAATTCAATTCACATTTATTACACAACAACCATGTGCCAAATATTCTAGGTTCTGGGAACAGAGAAATGATGAAGACCTATCTCTATTCTTTGGGAACCAACACATAGAAATAAGTGACATAAAAAATAGAAAATTAAAGGGTATGTGGGGAGTAGTAGGACAGGTCACTGTTACATAAGGCTGCAAACAAAAGACTCTTTCGAGGTTATATTTGAACTGAATCCCACTGAGTACAAGAAGACAGGCACAGAAATATCTGGATGGACAAAGATCTTTTCAGACACGGATCAGCACATTCAAGTTTTCTGAAGCACAAATGAGCATGATATACTGGAAGAACACAATGAATGACAGTGTGGATGGAGCATAGCGAAGGCAATAGATCTTGGAACTAAAACTAAAGTTGTAGGCAGCAGGAAGGTCAATGTATCACGTAAGTCTTTATAAGACATTGTAAAGAGTTTTGATTTTAGGTTTATTGCCATGGGAGGCCACTGAAGGATTTAAAGCAAGATATGGCATAGTTTGACTTATTTTAGAGGACAAATACATTTGAAAAGACAGAAAGACCAGAGAGTTGCATAGATATGTCACACTTTGCCTCATTGCAGGAGAAAGTGTGTGATTAGATTAACATGTTAGAGAAGATTGCTGGTTAAAATAAGTGGTAGACTCACAAGTGTGTGTTTAGATAAGCCGTCACAGTTGACTAGAATAAAAAACTATTTTTCTCCCATACAGATTTATAAAGTATTTTCCTACTTTAATTTAGAGTAAAGGGTTTTGAAATAAGAAAGTGGTAGCCTCAACATTTGGTACTCTTTAGTGTGTGAATTTCTATATTAACAATTATAGCACTAGTCTCCATTGTCTGGCAGTAATCTGAATTTATATTTTATTGAACTGAATGTTTTATAGTTTACAAACAAGAGCTAAACCATTTACAGAATAACTGAATGATCCATCGCATTTCTTACCTTTCATATAATTTGTGGTGTCTAAAAACTGATTATTTTAGGTAATGTGAAAGAAGACTATTTATATGGGAATACCAAATAGTAGTTACTAAAATGCTATGCTAAAAAATAAGTAGGACATTTGCAATTACAGAAGTAGAAGTTATTAAGGCCTTGCTTACCAGAAGTATCTGAGCCAAATGAACATAATAGAGATTTTCTTTACATTCAAATTAAAAAAGGCTACCAGTTTGGGTAAAAATATAGTGGCATCTTGTTCTTAAAATTCCCACTTCTACTGAGCACTATACAATACGGGCAATGTGGATATAAAATTTATAACACTACTTTCTTTTACTGAAGCTAGTAGAGATAGATACCCTGTAAGCTTTACATTATATTTAATTACTTCAAAATGCAATCAAATGAAATAAAGCAAAGCACAAGAAGTTGCAATGGTGTGTGGCAAGTAAAGGATAGGAGGGAAAAATAAGATGTTTGGAGGGGTGGTAACAACAGTAAAACTCAGAAATATAAGCAAAGATAGATTTTCAGAAGTAGAAGTCCCCACCTTGAAGAGGAAAGGATGAAGAAAATACACAGGAAGGGAAAAAAAAGGATAGGCATAAGAAAAGTGAGCCAAATTAAACAGGGCTCAAATTAAAAATATAAAACCTTGTACTGTGCCGAGGCAGAGATACAAGACTCAGAAATTGCACAGGGGTATAACAAATGGCAGATCTCCACATGTCTAAAAGTATACGGACAACTGTGGAAGGCAATATTGTTGACAAAGAGAATAGATCTAGGAGTCCTGGGGATGGTGGTAGGAGAAGAGACCTGGCTATAGACCAGGGTCATATTTTAATTAAACAACCTATTTTTCTTCCAAAAGAAGAAGAAAAGATCAGGATGCAAAATCGTGAAAATTACCCTGGACAGTCCAACACGCAAATCTACCATGAGCAGTGTTTTAGGAAAAATCTAACTCATTCCAATCAAATAACAGGGAAAAAAATTGTACCAAACATTGTTATTACATATAAAGATAAATAGTGAAAATTTTCCACAGTTAAACGAACTCATCAGTCAAATGTTGCCAGAAAGCAAATAAAAGTGCTGGCAGGAAAAACAAACAAACAAAACAAAACCTTCATAATGCAATTGCAGCTATAAACACACACACACACACACACACACACACACACACACAGAGCCAAAATACAAGAAGTCAAGAAGAAAATGAACAAACAAAAGGAGAAAATGGCCAACTAAAGGGGTGAAATCAGAAACTGTAAACTCAAAAAAGGTATGGAGGAAAAATATTTAGGAATAAAGATTAACTCATAAAGTTAACAAGGGAGGCTGGAATCAAAGAAAGCACAGTAAGGGTCATAGTGGATAAACTTGAGAAACTGAAGCAAAAAGAGAAAGAAGGAAAAGATAGGAAAAAAATTATTTCTATCAGGAGTGAGCAAAGTATACCTTGTGGGCTAAATTCAGCTTGCAGCCTCTCTTTGTATGGTCTTATATCTAAATAACTTTTATTTATAATTTTCAATGTGTTTTTTAATTAAAAAAAAAAGTACAGGTGACAAAGACCATATGTTGCCTGGAAAACCTGATTTAGTATCTGGCCCTTTATTTAGTATCTGGCCCTTTACAGAACATGTTTTCTGGCCCCTCACCTATGCAATATTGAAGAAAATTAAAGCAGATCCAATGTAGATACAATTGGAGCCCTTGAAGAATAAAACAACACAGCAGACTAGAACACCTACCTAAAAATGAAAATCAAATCTTCTAATGGAAAAATAATTTGAGTGATATTAATCTTTTTATAGTAACATTTCATAACAGAAGAAAGTGTAATATAACTTCAAGATACTCAAGATATAGACTCTTAATGAAGCATTTTATATTTACTTCTTATTCAAACATAAATAATGTAGGCAGTTAGTTTTCAGCATGCATAAGGTCAATAAATTTGGTTCCTATGGACTTTTCTTAAAGAAACTGTTAACAATTTAATTTCAGGCCCCCCAAAAGTGAAGAGAGAACATCTCAGCAAAAATAATTCAAGACAAAAAGAAAATAGTATATATGCATAAAATAAGAAATGGCAAGGGGAAAATAACTATAGACACAGAAGACTTTTTTTTTTTTAAATTTTGGGACTACTTTGTACAGAAAATTTCCTGGAAAATATAAGAAACAAAAACATCCAAATAATTTTCCAAAAGAATTCTACTAAATTTTGACAAGCAGATAGTTTTAAACGTTATTTAAAATTATATAGAGTGTAGGAAAAAAACAATGGCAACTATTAAATATGCTTAATGATTATGCACACTCACATAAACACACACAAACTATATAGTGATGTCTCGAACTATGTAATGATCTTCCTTGCTCTTATCTACCTGAGTGGGAATAACTGACATAATCCTGGCTTTTGAACTAACATATATACACACATATATAGTTAAATGAGTTATGTAACTGTATTAAGAATTATTTACTTGTTTTCTTTTTATGAGTTCTTTGCAAAAATACTAAAGTGTTGGAAAAAAATGAGTACAGCAAAACATTAAAGAAATAATCCATTGAGAGCAAGCAGGATTTATTTCAGACCTTTAAGGATGTGTAAATATATAGAAATATATTAACACAACTCATCTTTTATTAGATCTAAAGAGAAAATTATATTTTCCCCTCAAAGAAGTCAAAAGTAATTTTCTAAAGGTCAATTATAATTCTTGGTTTAAAAAACCAGGAATACACAAATAAAATTAAATAACTCATATCTCATGTATAACTCACATATAACTCATATACATACATCTGTTTGCATGTATTGGCTCAAAAGCCAGAATGGTGCCAGAGTTATTTCCCGCTAAGGTAGAGAAGAGCAAAGAAAATCATTATTGTCACTCTTACAACACTGCAGTGGAGTAATCAACCAGACCAATTAGACAAGATAAATGAATTAGAATTATAATAATTGTACAGGAGGAATTAAGAATACCACTATTTGCAGATGATATGGCATTTGACAAGGGAAAATCAAGAGAAAGAAATATTACAATAAGAGAATTAAGTGATATAGAAGAACATAAAACTTATAGCCACAAATTGCAGATATAGAGAGATAAACATAAAATATACTTTAATATTAACAACAAAAGAGATATGTAAGATACTTAGGGATAGGGATACTTAATATCCTAAAGATGTCGGTTTTACCTCAATTAATTTATTAGTGTTGTAATTCCAAATACAATAACAAAAGACGTGTCTTCTGAAATCATACAAGCTGATTTTTTCAACATTATTAAACTATAATTGAGGGGAAGTAAACTACAAATATTTTAATTGCTCAATTGGATGAATTCTGAAATACATATACATATGAAACCATCACTACCATCAAGATACGCTTTTTTCCAAAAGTGTCTTTGTATTCACTTGCAATTCATCTCTTCTAGTCCCCAATCCCAGAAAGCCATTTATTTTTATTTGTTTTTGTATTTTTTGCATATTTTAGAGTTTTAAATAAATGGAGTCATACAGTTTATACTATTTTTGTCTAACTTTATCATAATTATTTTGAGATTCATACTTGTAAAATCTATCAATAGGTCATCCATTTTCAATGCTGAGTAGTATTCCATTGTGTGGGTATATCATAATTTGTTTATCTGTTAACCTATTGATAGACATATTAATTACTTCCAGTTATTGGCTACTACAAATAGAGCTGCTATTCACATTTCTGTGTAACTTTTTGGTGTAAACATACACTTTCATTTCTCTTGGGTAATAACTATGAAAGTAATGGCTGGATTGCATGGTGGATATATGTTTAACTTTTTAAGAGATTGATAAACAGATTTTCAATTCATTCTACATATCTACAACAGTGTATGAGAGTACCAGCCATTTCACATCCTGAACAGCACTTGCTACAGATGATTAGTCTTTGGAATTTTGACCATTCTTGAGAGTGTGCAATGACGTTTCAAAGTTATTTACATTTGCACTTCCTGAAATGTCTAATGATGTTGAGCATTTTTTCATGTGCTTATTTGTTATCACTTCTTTAGTAAGGAATCTCTTCTGATCTTCTGCCCATTTTTGTGTGTTCTTATTAAGTTATAGAAATTCCTAATACAGTTTACAGAGCAGTCATTTGTCAGATATAAGTTTTGCAAACATCTTCTCCCCAGTCTGTGGCTGACAATTTCATTCTCATTTTGAGCATTTTGAAAAGGAAAATATTTTAATTTTATGAAGTCCAATTTACTTTGGATTGTGCTTTGGGTATTGTAGCTAATAAATCTTTGCCAACTCCTCCCATACGTTTATCTGGGAGTTTTATACCTTTAGCTCTTACATACAAGTAAATCTATGATCTATTTTGAGAGGTTTTTAAAAATATGAAATAAAATATGTGTTGAGGTTTTGTTTTTCATGTGGTTATTCAATATTTCCTGCAAAAATTTGTTAAAATGGTATTTTCCCCACTGAATTGCCTCAATATGCTTGTGAAAAATCAGTTGATCATTTATTAAGTATTATTATTAATATGTTTGGGTTTACTTCTGGAATCTCTATTATGTCACACTGACATTGATATTTGCCTTTAGTGCCATTTTTTAAAGCAAAACCACAATATCCATATTATACTAGCTTTATAATAAGTTTGGAAGTCAGATAGTGTAAGTGCTCTTTTTTCTTCTTTTTCAAACGTTTTTGCCTATTCTAGATCCTTTGTGTTTCCATATACATTTTAGAATCTAGTTAGCAAGTACTGCCATCCTCCCCAAACAACAGCCTGCAGGGATTTTAGTTAGGATTACATTGAAACTATGAACTGATTTAGGGAGATTGATAGCTCAACAACGGTAAAACTTACAATGCAAGAACTTGATACATCTCACCATTTATTTATAATCTCTTAAATTTCTCTTAGCAATATATTATAGTTTTAATGTAAAGGTATTTAACATATTGTCAAATTTTTCTCAAAAATTTTTGTATTTTTGAAGCTATTTTAAATAGAATTCTCTTTAAATTCCCATTTCTGCCTGTTTGTTGCTACTATATGGAAATATAAGTTTTACTTTTCTGTTAATTTTTATATATTGATCTTATATCTTGCACCCTTCCTAAATTCACTAACTTTTTATACTTTTTATAGATTTCTTAGGTTTTATATATGGATAATCATGTTATCTGAAAATAAAGACAGTTTTACTTTCTTTTTTCAAATATGTGTATTTTATTTTCTTAACTTTTTGCACTTGGTAAGACCTTCAATGCAGTTTGGAATAAAAACTGGGGGAATAGACATTCTTACCTCATACCTCATCCTTACTGAAAAAGAGTGCATTCTTTCATCATTAAATATTATGTTAGTACAGATATTTTATAGATAAATTTATCAATTTAAGGAAGTTCCTATCACTAGTTTACTGAGAGTATTTACTATCAGGAAGATGTGCTACATTTTATAAATTTTTTTTCTGTATCCATTAATATGATCATGATGCTTTTCTTATTTAGACTGCAAATATGGTGGATTGCATAATTTTTTTAGTATTGAACCAGTCTTTCATTTTTCACATCAACTTCCTTTGATCAAAATGCATATTCTTTTCATTTAATACTAGATTTGATGTGCTAAGTTTTGTTAAGAAGTTTTGGGTCTATATTTATAAGGGATGTTGGTCAGTAGCATTCTTTTTTTGTAATGTCATTGTTTCTGTTTTCATGGTAATAATGGCTGCATAGAAAGAATTGGGAAATGTTCTTACCTTTGAATTTGCAGGAACAGTTTGTATAAAATTGCTATTATCTCTTCCTCTAGTGTTTGGTGAAATTGATCAGTCAAGGTATTTGGCTGGAAGTTTTCAGTGTGGAAATTTTTGACTCAAATTCAATTCTTATTAGAAGAATCTAGATCTAGGGCTTTTTGGGGTACCTATTTCTTCTTGAGTGAGATTTTTGTAGATTATGTCTTTCAGGAACTTTATTTAATCTAAGTTTTCAAAGTGTTGGTATAAATTTGTTTATAAATTGCTATTTTTATCCTTTTTAAGTCTATGGGAACTTTAGTGTTGTTCCCTCTCTCAACTTGGTATCAGTAACATATCTTCACTCCTTTACCCTGATCAATCTGGCTAAAGGTTTACTAAATTTGTTGATATCCTCAAAGAAAGCTTTCTATGTCATTGATCTTCTGTTTTTATTTTTCCATTTTATATCCTATTTATTTCTGCTTTTGTCATCATTTCCTTTCTCCTAGTTATTTTAGTTTAAATTGGCTTTTTTGACCCTAACATCTTAAGAAGGATACTTAGGTCACTGATGTGACACCCATCTTCTTCTGTACTACCTGAAGTGTTTAATACTATAAGTTTCCTTAGGCACTATATTAACTGCACTCCAAGAATTTTGTCTCTTTTTAAATTTCATTCCATCCCAAATACTTTCTATTTTTGTTTTTGATTTTGTCTCTGACCGGTGTTATTATTTACAGATATGTCCTCTTATTTTGTTTGGGGGTTTTCCAGGTATCTTTTACTTGCAGTAAAAGGTACATATCTACACTGATCTGAACTGAGCCAAAGACTCAAAAATGTCCTTCTGAATGTCCCTCAAAAATGTCTCTCTCTGTCTATCTTTCTATGTGTGTGGTCTGTACTCTAAGGTATTCTGCTCCACAAATTCTAGTCATCTTGCTCCCACCGCCCAAACTTTTAATACTGTCTTCTCAACTCAGACATACTGCTAGACTCTGTATGCATACCCCTATCCAGAGCTATATTCGACCTGGAAATTCACTCCAGGAAATAAGCTGGAGCAAATCTAGGGCTCACTTTGTGTCTCCCGTCTCAAGGATTACTGTTCTGTGCTGCTTGTGGGTCAACATCAGAAATCTGTTGTTTCATATATTTAGTAAAAGTTATTCATTGTTTCAAGGTCGGTTAATGAATCCAGTTCTTGTTACTCCATCATGGATGGAAGCAGAAATTTTTATCTATACAAGCTGATATATAAAATAAATATACAAGGACAGTTAGAAAAAAGAAGGCAAGTACAGAATGCAAAATATTCTAAAGAACGACTGACCCCCTTCTCTACACTAGATTGTGTCATGAAAAAATATTCTTTGTGAATGTGTGGGTGTGGGTGTGGTCAGAGGAATTCTTCAAGATTTAAAGAGACTTAAGCAAAATGCGATATGTAGATTCTGAATACTGGAGTGTAATCTAGGACATTTCAATATGGACTAGATATTTAAAAACTACTTAGAAATTATTTTTAACTTGGTATTATAATGACAGTGTTTGTGTATGTGTGTGTATATATATATATATAAGAAATTTTCTCACTTTACAAGTCCATACAGAAGCATTTAGTATGAATTTTATGTATTAACAGCAAGTTATAAAGAAAAGCATTGAAATAAGAGCAATGACAGTGAACTAGCCTTATCAGATGTTAAAATATACTATTAGCCCTCAATAAATGAAATAATATCATTTTCCTTTTTAATGTTGGTAAAGCAATAAACAGACAATAGTTATTTTGGTATTAGAAACATATACTGTCAGTGTAAAATAGAACCAAGATTCCCTGGCTATCAGGAAACTGAGATGTATTCCAGATTATGTCACTGAAGAGCTGAAATAATATAGAAGATTATATCTCAGGTCTTTAATTTTAATGTTTATTTTAGGTTCAGAGATACATATGCAGTTTTGTTATACAGGTAAATACATGTCACAGGGCTTTGGTATACAGATTATTTTGTCGCCCAGGCAATAAACATAGTAGCCAATAAGCAGTTTTTTAATCCTCATCCTCCTCCTGTCCTTCATCCTCAAGCAGGCCCTAGTGTCTATTGTTTCATTCTTTGTGTCCATATGTACTCAAAGTTTAGCTCCCACTTGTAAGTGAGAACAAAGGTGACATTACCACTTACCCCATTGAGATACAAAAAAAAGAGACACTATTATGAACACCCCTATGCACAAAACCTGGAGAACCTAGAACAAATGGATAAATACATTGACATATAGACTCTTCCAAGACTGAAGTAGGAGGAGATTGAATCCCTGAAATGACCAAAAAGAAGTTCTGAAACTGAATCAGAAATACAAAATCTAGCAAACAGAAAAGGCCCAGGACCAGATGGTTTCACAGCTTATTGCTACCAGATGTATAAGGAAGAGCTGCTATTATGTCTACTGAAACTATTCCAAAAAATTAAGAAGGAGGGACTCCTCTCTAACTCATTCTATCAGGACATCATCATCCTGATACCAAACCCTGGCAGAGACACACACAAAGAAAAGAAAACTGCAGTCCAATATTATTAATGAACATAGATACAAAAATACAAAATACAGCAAAGCAAACTGAAACCAGAAGTACATCAACAAGCTAATCCACCATGATCAAGTAGGCTTTATCCCTGGGATGCAAGGTTGGTTTAACATATACAAACCAATAGATGTGATTGATCACATAAACACAACTAAAGACAAAAACACATGATTATCTCAATACAGGCAGAAAGGCTTTAATAAAATTCAACATGTTTTCAAGCTAAAAATCCTCAACAAACTAGCTATTGAAAGAACATACCTCAAAATAATAATAGTTATCTATGAAAAAACCCACATCTATGAAAAACCCTTCATACTGAATGGGAAAAAGCTGGAAGCATTCCTCTTGAAAACCAGAAAAAGATAAGAATACCCTCTCTCACCACTTTTATTCAATATAGTAATGGAAGTCTCACCCATAGCAATCAGGCAAAAGAAAACAATAAAAGGCATCCAAATATGAAGACAGGACATCTATTTATTAGTTTTTTCAAAGAACTAGCTCCTGGATTCACTGATCTTTAGTATGGTTTTTGCTTCTCCTTTTCCTTTGGTTCAGCTACTATTTTAGTTATTTGTTGTCTTCTTCTAGCCTTGAGATTTGCTTTCTCTCATTACTCTACTTACTCTCATTGCAATGATAAATTGTTAATTTGAGATGATTCTAACTTTTTGATGTGGGTATTTAGTGCTATGATCTTCACTGTTACCACTGCTTTGGCTGTGTCCCAGAGTTTCTGGTATGTTGCATCTTTTTTCTCATTAGTTTCAAATAATTTCTTGATTTCTGCCTTAATTTCATTATTTACCCAGAATTTATTCAGGGGAAAGTTGTTTAATTTTCATGTAATTGTCTGCTTCTGGATGATTTTCTTAGCAATAATTTCTACTTTTATGGCACTGTGTTCTGCGAGTATTGTTGGTATAGTTTCATTTTTAAAAAATTTGCTGAGGATTGTTTTATGCCCAATTGTGTGGTTGATTTTACATTATGTGCCATGTGCAGATGAAAAGAATGTATGTTCTGTTGTTTTTGTTTGGAGAGTTCTGTAGATATCTATTAGGTCCAATTGCTCAAGTATTGAGTTCAGGTCCCAAATATCTTTGTTAGTTTCCTTCCTCAGTGATCTATCTAATAATGTCAGTGGAGTGTTGAAGTCTCCCACTATCATTGAGTGGTTAAGTCTCTTTGTAGATCTCTAAGAACTTTCAAAATGAATCTGTAGCTCCTGTGTTGGGTGCATATATATTTAGAATAGTTAAGTCCTCTTGTTCAATTGAGCCTTTTACCATTATGTAATGCCCTTCTTTGTCTTTTTTAATCTTTCTTGGTTTAAAATCTGTTTTGTCTGAAATTAGAATGGTAACCCATGAATTTTATGTTTTCCATTTGCTTGGTAGATTTTTCTCCATTCCCTTACTTGAGCCTGTGGGTGTCATGGCATATGAGATGGGTCTCTCGAAGACAGCACACTGTTGGGTTTTGCTTCTATTCAACTTGCCCCTCTGTGGCTTTTAATTGGTGCATTTAGCCCATTTACATTCAATGTTAATATTGATATGTACAGATTTGATCCTCTCACCATGTTAACAGCTGGTTATTATGCAGACTTGTTTCTGTGGTTGCTTTGTAGTGGCTATGTACTTAAGTGTGTTTTTGTAGTGGCCAATAATGGTCTTTGCTTTCCACACTTAGCACTTCCTTCAGGACTTCTTGTAAAGTAGGTCTGGTGTTAATGAATTCCCTTAGCATTTGCTTGTCTGAAAAGGATCTTATTTCTCCTTCACTTACGAAGCTTAGTTTGGCTGGATATACAATTATTGACTGAAAATACTTTTGCTTAAAGAATGATGAATATCAGCCCTCCATCCCTTCTAGCCTGTAGGGTTTCTGCTGATAGTTTTGCAGTTAGCCAGATGGGGTTCCCTTTGTCAGTGACCAGCCCCTTCTCTTTAGCTACTTTTAACATTTTTTCTTACATTTCAACCTTGGAGAATCTAATGACTATGTGTACTGGGGATGGTTTTCTTGTGTAGTATTTTGCAGAGGTTATCTGTATTTCCCAAATTTTAATATTGGCCTCTCCAGCAAGATTGAGGAAATTTTCATGGACAATATCTTGAAATATGTTTTCCAAGTTGTGTGGTTTCTCTCCCTCTCTTTTTGGAAGGCCAATTAGTCATAGATTTGATCTTTTTACATATAATCCCATATTTCTCAGAGGTTTTGGTCATTCTTCTTTACTGTTTTTTCTTTGTTTTGATTTAGTCATTTTTGACATCCAGTCTTCAAGCTCTGAGTATATCTCAGATCTTGCTGTGGAGGGTTGCAAAGCCCTGACCTCTTCAGAAGTTTAGCTTCACCTTTAATTCAAAGGTGTATATTAGTGTTTCATCCCAAGCACTAGCCCAAAACTAAAATCTTCTTGGCTCTATAAATCAAGTAAAATCACAGTGAGTCATGGACTCTACAGCCTGATGATAGGGATCAATATCTGGTTCCACCTAACAGGTCCTATTACTATTACTATTAGTTATAGACACCACAGGATGAGTTGAGACATTGTCAATATTAAGGACAACTTCAATATTTTGGATTCTCACCCAAAATATTTCTATCACAAAGTAAGTCATACTATTTCCAAATCCATATATCATAGAATTATTCAACAGTTTTAGAGGCACTTACATCTATTTCTGCTATTTAGACTCATAGACAAAAAATGAATTAAAAATAGTTTCCTTTAAATATACAAATAGACTCTAGGGTACATAGCACCTCTCACATCATTAGCATTCCAATTAGAATGAAATGGTCTTGTAGAAAGTAACCCACAAACTCATGCAGTTCTAGCTATGATCAACATAAAACAGCATTGGCATCACTGCTCACAGATTCCACCAGAGCACAAATAACAAAGTATTTTCAATTTTTTGATTATCCAAAGGCATTAGTTTATTAAATCCATAGTGAATCAATTTCAAAATAGATGCCCACCACATTGGTGTTCTGGGCTATTGTTTAAATAAACCCATAGATTAAATTTCAATTCAGTGTTTATAATGTTTATAGTATTTCTTCTTATTCTTGATTGAATTTCAACATCTGCAAAATCTGTTTTTCAACCCAGACCACTTATTTTTGAGACCTTCTAGATATCTCCCTTTTACAGCTCACATGGATGTCAAAATCCAAATTCACCATATTTATCCACACCGTTGTTTGTTTCTCCTTTCCTGTCTTACATGGAGAGGCCAATAATTTCACTCAGCAGAAACTGAAAGACATCTGCAAACTTTACTCTTCTTCACTCCCCACTCCTAGTATCACCAACTCAGATTACTTTTAGCTCATCTGTATGTCTACAACCGGTCCTCTTCTAAAGTATGAATTTTATAATCCCAGAAAAATATTATATTCTTCTTACTGGTTACCTATCTCCCTAAACAATCCATCCTTAACACTCCTGCCCTCACATTCTGGGCAGCAGCACATCACTCCCACTGACTATAAGAGAAAGCTAGTTAGAATTTTGCCTTCTTTGTCTCATCTTTCAAACAACCTGCATGTAGATCTAAAGCTCCAGAGGCAAATTCATGAGCTCCCTGAATGCCCATCACCTCCTCCTCCTTTCAGCTTATACTTATTACTCAACCCCAATATCGTCTTCACCTTGGAAATTTTCCCAGACATTTCTTCTCCTACCCAATTCCTCTAGCTAGAAGAGGGCAAAGGAGCCTACTTGTATGCCTGTGGCACCCTGATGCTACTTCAATGCTAATGTTAAATTTTCATTGTTGCAAGAATTTGTTTTCTTTCTAATATGATCTATCTCTATGCAGGATTATTTTGTTTATTTTTAAGTCCATATTGTCTAATGCAGGACTTGGTATATCATAAAGTTACAATATTGTTCAATTAATTGAATGGGATATGAAATTGAAGAGTAAATATTAATTCTGAGATTAAAATTAACCTAAAATTAGAATGTTTTCCCTGCTCCATACCTTATTTATTTTGTACCAGTCACATGCCTGTTACTTTGAAAAATTTTTACAGAAATATACATCAATCAGCATCATCCCAACTTGCATATGAAAAGTAAAAAACTAAATTTGTGAACCAGATGTTTATCTATTCAACGTCAAACATCTGGTTGTCTACATAATTAGCAGTGATTGGTTAATTTTGTTTTAATTTTTCATCAGGGTGTTTAGTAGAATGTAGAAACAACTTTTATGTTTAATATAATAAAACATGTTTTATACACACATAAAAGAAAAATATACTTATATTAAGTAAAATATCAGCTGGCCTCATTGTCTTTTTATATTTTCACTTCTATAATTTTTTTCTCTCAAGGTGTTTTACATAGAATACATCCACACCCTCTTCACACACCTATAAATTAGTCATTTTCAACCACATTTTACAAATGAGGAGGTTAGAGAAATCGTCCCAGGGCATAAAATAACATTGTGGAGAGCTATGGTTTGAAACCAGGTCTTTCTTATGACTTATGACAGTAATTCATTCCAGCACAGGCCACTGTTTAATATAGCATTTACTAACAAAGCATATATTAAATGTATTTTGGTATAATTTCATGATGATCTTGCAAATCTTTTATATTTTTAAATGTTCCATTTACACATTCCCTGAATAAAATATTCTCTAAAATGCAGTCTTATCATTGTTTCCACAGGACCTAAAGAGGCTTCTTGTCTATCAAGACATCATGATAAATCTGAAGAGCTAGAAAGATGACTTTTTATAATTAATTGCAAGACAGGAAAGAGAGGAAGGAGGTAGTATTATACTCCAACAAATACTTTATTTTTATATTAAAACACCAATACAGTTTTTCCCATCTGGTATTTAATTGAATATTAATTCCACATTATATACGAAATATGTGCAGAAAAGAGTTCTATGTGAAATAAACTTGTGAAATTCTGGATTTAGCAAAGATAAAATTAATTTCACAAAGAATTTCTCCTAACTTGTAATACACTGAAGTATGCATTGTAAATTTGCAAGGAGTGGAGTATCATATGGAATTTCCAAAATGTCTGTGATCATGAAACCCTTTCACAAAGTATCCTATGTGACTTATGCTAACGGAATGCACTTTTTCAGTGAATAGGAATATTAACAGCTGTCAGATTCAATTTTACAACTAGTTTCCTTGGCACTCAACAAGACTTAGCTGCAAAAGCCCTGGAATGACACAAAGGACTTATCACAAAGTTCTATGATAAACATGTACTGATGATGTCACATACATTATAAAAGCATAAGGTCCTTGAACAGAGGGCATATCTATAGGAAGAGTTAAATCAAAACTATGCTCATATTAAGCTATGACTCCTTTGAACTATTTGAACCATTTTGTGCTGGATCTGCTGCACACTAATCATCTCAGGGCAGTAGGACTATTTTATGGCCTAATGCAAATATTTTTTTTAAAATCTAACCCTGTGATGTAGTATTACGCCAGGTACTTTCAGCAAACAGAGTGGAACCTAACAAAGTGAATGGAAAGAATATTAAGAAAATGCGAATTCTAAATTTGGAACTAAAATTATCTTTCCCAATCACTCAAAAGACTCTTTACTATTCTTCACTTGTCATTTGCCAATGCAGATTCCAAGTTCCTTAGGAAATTTTTAGAGAATTTAGGATGGTCTTATTTTATGTTCCATATCCCCATGTTCCTTTTTTCTACCTCGTGACCAACTCCAACATTTCTGTTAATACAACAGACTAGATGAGATTAAGCTTTCCAGACTATCTTTCAGGTATTCAAGTTAATGGTATTTTTTTAACATTTCCTATTTATTCACCCTACTTTAGAGTCTCTACAGAAAGCATATTTTTTAATCTACAAAGCATTCAAGAGTAAAGACTCTAGAGTCAGAAGACAGATTTAATTCCGATTCTGTCCCTAACTAACTGTTGTAAAACTTGGAAAAGTTCCTCTGATATTTCCTTTTACTTGCAATAGCTTATGTGACTCTAATTTATAGATTATTGCAAAGGTTAAAGGTAAATCTTACAAAGCACAGTGCCCTGCAAATCTAAATTATCAATAAACTCTATCCATTATGATATTGATGATGATGTGACCAAATTAAATCAATAGTTTTTAAAGAAACATTGGATCAGTATCAGTGATTTGCAACTATTAACATGTATTTTAAAATTCCCTGGTGTGCTTGTACCTAGGCCTACAACTGCATGAAGCCTGATTCAGTGGAGAGGAGTGGTAATTCTTCCAGGCAGCCCTCAGATAATGATTTAAGAAATACTGAACCAGTGGACTCCAAATTCCATTGCACGCCCATCACATTATGATTTTGATGTTCTCTTTACCCTCCCATATGTTTGTGTAACCTTCTCCTTTACTTGTCTTGTCTTTCTCTCTGGCCTGGCAGACAGGAGGCTTGCAGTTTTGAAGGGGGTGGTAAGTGGACCAGTCAGGACAGCCCTAATGTCTGCCCTGGGAGCTACAGGTTATCAGAACACCCCTTGACTCCCTCAGTCTTTAGCAGTTATTTCATCTTTTCGATTTTCAGAGTGTCTCTGGTTACTTGCTAAAAAATACATTCCTTTGAGTTTGACTTATAAATGGAGTACAAGAAAAAGTGAGCAAAAACCACTTTCCAATTGTAACAAAGCACTTGCCACAAATGTGACAGAAGCAAACCAAAACCTGAACTGGGTTAAAACAGGAGCTTTCACATTAATTATTCAAAAGGCAAAAATTAAATTATCTATACACACACACACACACAAAAGAGTTTATTTCTGTATATGAGGTAAAACCCTGATTGACGGCTTTGCCTATAATGTTTACAGAATTGCTTCAATTCCTCAATTTCGCTTAAGGTAATGATGTATCAGTCAAAGAAAACAGCACTTCACAAATTTTCCTGGAAAGTGAAAGCCCAGGTTTTTTTTTCATTTTGCAAATAAACTCTTATCATAAATTTTCCTTCTTTTGACCAACTATTTTTTCTGTCAACTGCCTTTGAATTTTTATGAACTCATTTAGCAGCAACTATTCTCCCCGCTATGTATTGAGAGGAGGTAAAATGCAGACACTGACAAAATGGCTGCCTCAGGCAGAGGCCAGTACACGGAGAACAAGACTTGGTTGTGGTTGCCTCCTGTGATTTGTTCTGTGAATCTCAAGTTGGAGTCCAACTGTGAAAATAGTGACAGAAACTCTGACCTTGCTTTTAAAAGCTACAAGGCAAATAGCCCCTCAGACCGGGGTAGTCACATGGCTTTTTCCGACTGTCTCATGTCAGTGCTCCACCCTGGAGGATGTTAGAGCCCAGTATGGGGAAGAGGCCTTCACTTTGCCAAGGAGAAAAACCAAAGCCTTAAAAAAAAGCCATCTTTGAAAAATAGACCTTTGACGGATGAATTGTAATATCTTAATATTAGCATTTGTTATTATAAGTTATGATTTGTAATGCTTTGTCTCAGGTTCTGCATTGAG
Organism: Homo sapiens; assembly: GCF_000001405.40. NCBI lineage: Eukaryota > Metazoa > Chordata > Mammalia > Primates > Hominidae > Homo > Homo sapiens. The sequence continues at coordinate 56,685,008 of NC_000002.12, read as the reverse complement.
TAGTAAATGCCCCTGCTTTCCAAGGGATAGAGTGCCTCATAAAAGAAAACACTAATTGAGCAGGTCTTCAGGACCCAATTATCCTACTGATAATTCCAAGGGGATGAACTATCATCATAGTACAAACATGGAATATAGGAAGCTTATCAAAATATTGTTTATATGACAGAAATTATTTCTGATCAAAGCCAGCTCCCAGAATAGAGTCAAATCACACAGCTATTCCTATAGACTATGTAAAGTAGTCCGGCAATGAGAGCTACAGGGTCTTTGTACCAATATTAGCTCAAATTGGGCCCATGTTTGACTCTAAAAACCAGTTGCAGCTATACATTAAGAATTTCAGTATTAATGGTGTTTTTTCCTAAATAAAGCAGCTGTCAAGCTCTGCCCCATTGAATACATATACATCAAAGAAAGCAAGTTTTCTGGTAGAATGGTTGCTTTCTTCAATAGATCATCATTGTGTGACAAAACAATGTTTCCCTATTCACTTACCAAAATGAATTCACATGCTAATTTCAAATCTGTCAGAGCTCAGTGTTCACCACTGAGGTGTCAAATAAAAGTGATTTGTCAGTAGAGATCTTTTCTTTCTAAGTTTATTACATTTCAGGTGCATACTTTCTGTACTCCCTCACAACATCCTAGATTGTCCGTATGACTCAAATCAAAAGTTCTGTATCTCCATCAAGCAAGAAAGTGAATTTCATGGTTATTACAAAGCCAATTTTAATTAATACTTCCTGAAATGGGCTTCCTTTTTCTTTTACTTTTATGTGTGCTAAATATTTTTCAGACAACTCCAGTTTTAAACAACATACAGAACCTATGTTTATTTATAAGAAAATTAAGAAAATATCTATTCTTTTTTTATCATTAAAGAAAGAATTTTTTATTAGTATAGCCTAAGTGTACAGTGTTTTTTTTTTCTTTTTTTTTTTTATTATACTTTAAGTTTTAGGGTACATGTGCACATTGTGCAGGTTAGTTACATATGTATACATGTGCCATGCTGGTGCGCTGCACCCACTAACGCGTCATCTAGCATTAGGTATATCTCCCAATGCTATCCCTCCCCCCTCCCCCCACCCCACCACAGTCCCCAGAGTGTGATGTTCCCCTTCCTGTGTCCATGTGATCTCATTGTTCAATTCCCACCTATGAGTGAGAATATGCGGTGTTTGGTTTTTTGTTCTTGCGATAGTTTACTGAGAATGATGGTTTCCAATTTCATCCATGTCCCTACAAAGGACATGAACTCATCATTTTTTATGGCTGCATAGTATTCCATGGTGTATATGTGCCACATTTTCTTAATCCAGTCTATCATTGTTGGACATTTGGGTTGGTTCCAAGTCTTTGCTATTGTGAATAATGCCGCAATAAACATACATGTGCATGTGTCTTTATAGCAGCATGATTTATAGTCCTTTGGGTATATACCCAGTAATGGGATGGCTGGGTGAAATGGTATTTCTAGTTCTAGATCCCTGAGGAATCGCCACACTGACTTCCACAATGGTTGAACTAGTTTACAGTCCCACCAACAGTGTAAAAGTGTTCCTATTTCTCCACATCCTCTCCAGCACCTGTTGTTTCCTGACTTTTTAATGATTGCCATTCTAACTGGTGTGAGATGATATCTCATAGTGGTTTTGATTTGCATTTCTCTGATGGCCAGTGATGATGAGCATTTTTTCATGTGTTTTTTGGCTGCATAAATGTCTTCTTTTGAGAAGTGTCTGTTCATGTCCTTCGCCCACTTTTTGATGGGGTTGTTTGTTTTTTTCTTGTAAATTTGTTTGAGTTCATTGTAGATTCTGGATATTAGCCCTTTGTCAGATGAGTAGATCAACTGGAAGAAAGGGTATCAGCAATGGAAGATGAAATGAATGAAATGAAGCGAGAAGGGAAGTTTAGAGAAAAAAGAATAAAAAGAAATGAGCAAAGCCTCCAAGAAATATGGGACTATGTGAAAAGACCAAATCTACATCTGATTGGTGTACCTGAAAGTGATGTGGAGAATGGAACCAAGTTGGAAAACACTCTGCAGGATATTATCCAGGAGAACTTCCCCAATCTAGCAAGGCAGGCCAACGTTCAGATTCAGGAAATACAGAGAACGCCACAAAGATACTCCTCGAGAAGAGCAACTCCAAGACACATAATTGTCAGATTCACCAAAGTTGAAATGAAGGAAAAAATGTTAAGGGCAGCCAGAGAGAAAGGTCAGGTTACCCTCAAAGGGAAGCCCATCAGACTAACAGCAGATCTCTCGGCAGAAACCCTACAAGCCAGAAGAGAGTGGGGGCCAATATTCAACATTCTTAAAGAAAAGAATTTTCAACCAAGAAAATATCTATTCTTATAATTAACTATCTGGTTTGACGTTTGGCTAAGACATATTTCAAAATGTTATCTGGGGGCCAGGCAAACTGCTGATGTGCTAAGGGAAACATTTGTAAACAGAGAAGGCTCCTGAACATTCCTTCTCACAGACTTTTACATAGGCTTAGACAATTCAGGCATTTTTACTAGACACATTTCAAACCAAATGTTTAAAGCTCGAAGCTTCCTAAATTAAGAAAAGAGCTTTATTAAGGAGGCCAGAACACCTTTTAGTCCTTTTCTTTGACTAAAAATGTTAATTTAATTTGATAGCACTCTTGTAGGAATACACCTAGAGAGATATTGTGCTTTCTATTCCACATGCTTAAGTTACCTCTTAAAATATTCTTTACACTTGCATCAACTATCATGTTGGGCCAAAGTTATAAATATAAGCACTAGCTCTATCTGGTGTTCCTGAATGACCCACAGAGGGACAGATGACAGTTAAAGGGATGGGGCTTCAGGAACAATCAGCAACGGGCACATGAAAAATGCTGAAATAATAGCATTCTCAATAGGTAAAAGAAGTTTATATGCAAAATCTCTAGAAAGAAATAAGGAGAAGCTGCCCAAATAGTTTTGGTAGGCTTTACTTGAGGCAACTAAAAAAAAAAATCATATTTCTTAATACTTTTCCAATTTCAAAGGAAATGAACGTTTGTTAGATAAATCTTTATCTTGATTAGGAAGAAAATCTTCGGGAACACAGGAAACTTCACAATCTAGAGCTTCGAAATGTACTTCCTGTAGAGACATATCTGAGTCAGTAACCATTAATCCATCTCTGACAAAAAGTTAAGAATCCACTTTACTAAGACCATATGTTTTCTATTAATATGTCTGCATTTGGATGCCATTTTGTAAGAAAGAAGGAAGGCCATAGAGGCATAAAATAATGGAAAAATAACCCCAACTCAAGTTATAAGAAAATGTTTTGTAAAGCGTCATAGACAATTTGCATATACACCCTAATACAATTAAATAAAATTAAAACTTATTTACAAAGTTCAGCTGGAAATAAACTTAATATTTTACAATGGTGTGATGTACTTTTTTCTTTTAAGAAAATACAGGGGCCTACACATGTATAGTTAATAATGTAGCTTGCATAACATTGACAGCTGCATAAAATTGACCCAATTTCTCAGTCTTTTTAACACAAAGAAATGAGTCCTTACTTTCTATGACTGCATAAGTCACTGACATAGGATTCCCTACACAAAGTGCTTAAGCTACTAATGGCCTTAATCAATTGCTGAAGGTGTGTTATTACGAACTCATACTGATAATAGTCAACAACACATTTTTTATCAATACCCATGACTATAATGATTGGAGAAAAAATGTATATTTTATAGTTGATAAAACTGATCCAGAGATAGATTAAGTAACTTACTCAAGAAGCCACAATCAGTGAGTCACAGAAATGGAATTAAAATGCCTGTCTCTTGATTTCAGCGCCAGACAGTGATAGACACACAACTTAAAATGAACAAGAAACGTTTAAGTATGAAAGAATGTGATGTTATCTGCCAAGCAATTACTCTTTGCAGAGTTATGTCATAAATTTCTATTTTCACTTGAAGATTTTCTCTTCTAAAAATGCCTCTAAAATTCTATAAGTGGTATTATAAATTGAAATATCACAAATAACTTGATGTTTGGAAGAATAGAAATGTATTTTAAAAAATATAAGTATCTGTTAAGTAATAAGGCATATGCTTGGTTTGTTTCAGTTTAATTTGTTTTTGTACAAATAAAGAACTTTCTTTCCCTTGTATTTATCCCTCCAGATTTTCTCTCAGATCTTGCCTCTAATATGCTACCACCCAGGCCATTAACAAACATTTGCTTAGTGATTCAAAGAAACTCAGTTTATCTTACATGTCTCAATATTTCAAGCTTTTATAATAAAGCGTCACACTACATAATTTTAGAAACCCCTTCAACTTCAGAGGTTGTAAATATAAATAATAATACCTAATATCTTACAGTACTTAACTACATTCCTGCCAGTCAGTAGGCTAGGAACTTTATAAGCATCATCCTATATAATTCACACAACAACTCCATGATGCAGAACCAGATATTATCCACTTTTATATAATGGAAAGCTGAGGTGTAGACAGGTTTAGCAGCTTAGTCAAGAGAAAAGGAAGGGAGAAAACTGGAAGTCAAATTCAGGTCACCTGACACAAGACCCATACTCTTAATCGTGATATGTCACTTGTCCCTATTGCATTTCTTTTGTGAAAATGGAGGTCCTAAAATAAGAAGGTTAAATATTTCACCACGATTGCATTGCAGACTAATGCCTCACTATTAGAAATGTGGTCTGCAGATGAGCACCATCAGCATCACCTGGGAGCTTGCAAGAAACACAGAATATCAAGCTCTACTCCAGACCTGCTGTCCAGATTCTACATTTTAACAAGATGCACACATGATTCACATGTACTTAAAGTTTGTAAAACATGGTCTTAGAAAACATTTAAGGAAGAATACAGGCATACAGGGAAGAACATGGCCACATATTACCTGATTTTAAGAAGTGAACAATATCATTCTTTAAAATGATTTTTTCCTTAGGCGTTTGAAGATCAGCTATATGCTGGGTAAACAACAAAATTGCCAGATGTGTGTATGGGTAAAATGAAAGCAGTCGGCAAAGCTTAAATCATATAATCAATAATCTAGGATTACTGTCAAACTGGACTGATTATCCTAGTGCTTGAGAATTATTTTTACCTTCAAGCTATATCTACTATTCAAACAACTGAAAAATGGGCTGAAAATTTTATAAATTTCTATCCATGATCGACAATATTTAGTATAGCAAAGGTCAACATTTTAAAAATAGCCTATAAATATGTTTTGTTCATACCACTTAGGTTGAACTTTTCCCTTCCCATGTTCAAATGACATGGGTCTTAACTGCATAAAAAGGAATGTCTCATTAAGTATAGAAATCTTGCTGTATTTGTCAGTTTCTTTTGATTTCTATGGAGAATCTAGCAAGGGAATTATGCATATGATTTTACATGTTTCAATGTTTAATAGTATAATATATTATTAGGCCAATGAAACACAAATTAAAATATTCAGATTTACTTTATATTAAATAAAACGTATAGAAATCAAGTACATTTTATCTTATTATCTGGAAAAACGTCAACCCAGATGCAAGGAAAATAAAGTGTCTTAGGTATACCATTCTCATGGCAGTATATAAATTTTTTCTTCTCTTGAGAATCCCTGACTTAACTTAATTCTTATAAAAATTAGAGCTCCTTACACTTCAGGTGTGTTTTGTTTTATATTTTTAAGAAATTTCTCTAGTTTTCTTGATTCTGAACTTGATTCTAATTGAGGAGCAAAAGTACATTTTCCAGTCAGCTCAAATACTGCAAGCCTGCCTGATCAATATTCCTCAAGCTGGTTTATTTGTGCCCTGGGCTGTTAAAACTTACTCTTTCATAGGAGTCAACCCTGAAAAATACAGTTCTTCTTAGTTCAGGTAACGTGTTTTGTGTGTTTGGCATAAGAATTACACTTTATATGCTAAAAGGTCACTGAAGAAAATAACCAAAACATAATACCAAACTGATCTCTTATCCTTTCTTTCCTTACTGACAGAGTGAAACATGCACATTACATGGAATCATGTGAGATAATATATTGAGTATGAAGACAGCACTTATAATTTCATTACCTGCTACATATATACATACATATGTATACATATATTATGTATACATCATGTATATGTAGATATACGAGGTTAGGTCATATTTGGCAATCAGATTACTTCAATAAACATTTTTATTTTTTGAGAAGGAGTCTCACTCTGTCGCCCAGGCTAGAGTGCAGTGGCGCAATCTCAGCTCACTGCCAGCTCCGCCTCCCGGGTTCACGCCATTCTCCTGCCTCAGCCTCCCGAATAGCTGGGACTACAGGCGCCCGCACCACGCCCGGCTAATTTTTTGTATTTTCAGTAGAGATGGGGTTTCACCATGTTAGCCAGGATGATCTCGATCTCCTGACCTCGTGATCTGCCGGGCTTGGCCTCCCAAAGTGCTGGGATTACAGGCGTGAGCCACCGCGCCCGGTCTTCAATAAACATTTTTTTTGTTCACTGCCAACAGATGTGTTACTGTTTCAGCATTTAAAGCACTTCACCTTTTACAGGTAATCATTGGGATTACCGAAAAAGATGAGAAACTTAATTAGCAAAAGTATAAATTTACAGCTAAATCATTATTTTCATAATTGTATTAGTTTGTTCTCATGCTGCTACAAATAACTGCCTGAGATGGGGTGGTTTATAAAGGAAAGAGGATTAATTGACTCACAGTGTGGCATGGCTTGGGAGGTCTCAGGAAACTTACAATCATGGCGGAAGGAGAAGCAGGCATGTCTTATGTGGCTGTAGGCCAGAGAGAGCATGTGAAAGAGGAACTGTCAAACACTTATAAAACCATCATCCTCTGCAAACTAACACAGGAACAGAAAAGCAAACACCACTTGTTTTCACTCATAAGTAGGAGTTGAACAATGACATCACATGTACACAGGGAGTGGTACATCACACACCTGGGCCTGTCAGGGAATCCGGGGCAAGACGAGGGAGAATTAGGACAAATACCTAATGCATGGGGAGCTTAAAACCTGGATGATGGGTTGATAGGTGCAGCAAACCACCATGGCACATGTATACCTGTGTAACAAACCTGCACGTTTGGCACATGTATCACAGAACTTAAAGTAAAATAACATTTTGTTTAAATCAGATCTCATGAGAACTCACTCAATATTACAAGAACAGCATGGGGGAAACTGCCCCCTTGATCCAATCACCTCCCACCAGCTTCCTCCCTTGACACGTGGGGAATTTGGGGATTACAATTCAAGATGAGATTTGGGTGGGAACACAGAGCCAAACCATATCAATAATATATCATACTATCACTAATTTAGATTTTGAACTTAGATTTATCTCTAAGTCATTCTCTAATATTTTAACAGTAACAACCCATGAAAATTAGTTTAACTTTTACAATAGTTATTGATTCCTTATGAAAGTACTTCCCTAAACATTGGCTATATGCACAATATATGTATCTTATGGTGATGTATAACTAATACAGGTAGAAAACAGAATGTAGTTCTGGGGCATATCCTGGACATGTGAAGATTAAACTAGGTACTTATTAACTCAGGCAGCAGGCACAAAGTTGATGAAAATAAAATTGGAAATTGTTTAAGGTGTAATGATGGCTTCACAGATTGATTTTGGTCCAGTGGACAGTAGTGTAAAGGATAGTTAAAGTCAGGAGGACAATGTTTGAGGCAAATATTGGGTCAAGAATAAAGATATTGTCCCTTCGTTACAGAAAAGTTGGGAATAAAATATCAGAACCAGGGATAGCTCTCTGGAGACACTTATAACAAAGACCTTACTGAGGGAGACAGTTTTCAAAAATCAAGACCTACATTGCTGGTTACTCCTAAGGAGATAATGTTCTGGCTTTCAAAAGACCATCTTCCTTGTGTTTCAAGTTTTGTCACATTGTCATCAAGGCCATCATAGTCCCTACGTAAAAAAGGCAATTAATTTTAAATAGCCTAATTGGCATCTCCACAATCATATGGGTTTACAAGATTCTTATGAAGCCTCTCAATCTTCTAAAATATGTGGCACATTTTTTGAAAGGCTCAAAATCATATGTTTCTTATCATCCCAATTATAGAACTATAATGTCTGTAGGTTTCTGATTTTTTTCCCTTCGGGCTAAATATTTTAAAATATTCTCTGTCCAGGGGTACCTTGGTTTGGTTCCTCTCGCAAACCTCTATCAGCATCCCAAACTGAGGGGGCACATAAAGAAGTATAAACTACTTCAAGTCTATGCAGCAAAGAAGGCTAAGTGGAACCTCATCTCTGCCCCCCAAAGACTTTTGCTGCTTTTCTTCAAGTGTGATAATTGCTTTGAAATGGCAGCCTGTCTAGGAACTACACTTCCCAGTTTATGTACATCTATGTGAGACTAATTAATATTTTTCTTAATGGAAGATAAAAAATAAAACGTATATATCTATTCCTCTCCCAAGTAATTTAAAAATTGAATGTGTTTTTTTCTGGTCTCTTTTCTCATCTTCAGGATGAATGGAGAGGACTTGAAGCTCCTCGAAGAAGATAGATCTGTAAGATGTAAAGAGCTTAAATTTCTTCATCATACTATGCTAGACCATCTGACCAAAAATGTCTACACTTTCCTATAATGTAAGAAAAACATAATCTTTTATTGTGTTAAGCAACTGAGATCTAAGAAAAGAAGTCAGCATCACCTAATTTAATACAGTTTCTTTTCCTTTCAGTACAGTGGTTCTAAACTAGGGGTAATTTTACCTCCCAGGGAATATTTGCCAATATCTAGAGACAATTTTAGTTGTGGTAATTAGGGTACAGGATAGTTGTGTGTATGAAATGTAGTGAATAAAAATCAGGGATACGGCTAAGCAGCTTACAGTGTACAAGACAGTCCAGCCTCCATTCACCCATCAAAGAATCAACCCATCCAAATGTCAGTAGTGCCGCTGTAGGAATTCTGATTTCAGTATAAAGAAACAAATGGAAGAATAGAGAGTCCAGAAGAATATATAAGAATAAAAGGTAAGGAATGTGAATGAATAAGCTGGCTAAATCTTTCTGTTTTTGAATTTGTTTCATCTTATCTGTGAAATAGGGGAGATATTCAATACCAAAGATATGGCAAGATTAGATATATGTTTAATCTTAGCTTTGGTATTGAATATCTCATTAAGGATGTGTATTCCTTCTCCTCTGTTTCACTGCTGAAATTTACCAAGTTTGCCCTCATGTGTTCATCCTCTTATTTTACCACTAGTCGCAGATTTGAGTCTAAGAACAATGATGATCATTATGAGCAGCTCGCAAGCAAGCCAGCCACTTCTAAAGCTTTCTTAATTGCTTGCCCATGTACTTTTCTTTGGGGACCTGATCTGTTCTAGAAGCTCACAAAAGCCTTGTATCGCTGTAGATTAAAAAAACAGCATGAAAAATAGGACAAGGTTAGGTCATGTTTAGTAAGTAGATTTCTTCAATAACATTTTCTTGTTAACTGCCAACAATTGTGTTATTGTTTCAGCATTTAAAGTAGGGAATATGCAGGCAAAAATTCTGTAGGATTTTATATGCAACTTTGAGATGTGTTTCACAAAACTTATATGACTTCTTTTTCAATGATATTAATTAATAAAGTGATCATATTGTTTATCTCTATTTTTATTTCCTTTGTTTAAAGTGGCATGATTGAACAGAAAATTAAAGTGACAAATCAGCTTAAAATCGAAAGTAAATAACTACAGTTTCATTATAAATAAATATAACATCTCTTTGACATTATGAAGACTGCCCACACACCCCTAGAGTTGTTTTGTGGCATTTTACATCAACCTTTAACAAGGAGTATTGGGTACCTTGACAGGAACTAAGAAATCTCCTAAAGGCATGATAAAGCAAGAAAATAGTAGCACCTTTAAGAGCTTTAATTCATTCCAAATAAATGTTCTGGACAAACAGGGTATTTTGTAGGATGCATTTTCTCAAGGTGCAGTACTCAAAAAAAGTAAGCACTAAATTAAGTAGCTTGGATAAATCATAAAAGGGTTTATTGAACAAACAAGTCATTTTTTCCTCTATTCTCATTCATAAGTAATACATTCAGGTCAGAAAATTCAATAGAGAATAATTAGATGCTAATAGTATATTCTCAATTGGATGCCAAATTGTTATTGTATAATTTCTGAACTTTTATAATTAAGTGGTCACTGTTTTCTAGAACACAGAAACCAAAGTTCTTACCAATTTTGAGTCTCAGGATCTCGTAACTTTTTTAGTGATTTTGGAGGAAAATTCTGAGAGATAAAATTGAAAGAGATAAAATTATGTGATAAGCATAAGTTATTAAGCTCTGGATATAAATGAGCTTTTTCCTCAGTCTATGGGGTGAAGGTGGAAGTTATGTAATGACTAGGTTTGGACAGCAAAGTACTCTGTGGCATACAAATAAGAGGTGACACCTATAAATTACAACAATAATAATTGTATTAGGCAATTATAGAGGTTGAAGCAGAGTGGTATGTTAGAGAGAGATTGGTGAATAAATTAATATGTGCTCAGGAATCCAGTATTGATATGAAACTCCAAGTATTTCAACTGCACATGATTTTTTTTTATTGTCATTGCAGTTCCTGGAGAAAATGATGTCATTTCTTACACCTGCTATTTCTAGTTTGAGTACTGCAATGAGACCATTATAACAACAAAATCTCTGCCAGAACCAAAACACACTGGACCAAAACAAAGGAGCAATCCAGGCTCTCTTCCTAACTGTAGCAATAAAAATCATTTCTCCAAAGAATATAGTGTGTTTTGATTTTGAACAAGTAACTTCAAGTGCTACTGCTTTATTAGTGGCCCTTGTCTATTATCTTCCTCATCCTCAAAGGGATATTACTGAAAATAGAGACATAGGTCGTTAAGATACAGCTAGCTAGATAGATAAAATGTACAGGCAAATAAAATATTATATATGTTTACACAATAATTACATGTGAGTACCTAATAGGTACTTGTGTAGTATAAGCCTTCTTAGACTTCTTTCTGCTTTCACACAGACTACTAAATTATAACTTAGTCATAATATTAAATTTTAGTTTATTTCAATTTTCTTTTTTCCCCCAAGATAGCAGAGTAGGGGATTTTAGTATGCCTCTGCCACTTGGAAGCAGCAAGATAGTGCATAAAGATCAACTTTCTGTGCTTTAATTCAAGAAGGAAAACAGGATTCCACTGAAATTGTGATGTACATCCCAGATCCCAAGGAGGAAAATGTGGTCCAACAGCCTCTGTGACAGAATCTGGCTGATAAAAATGAGTGAAACCCCAGTACGTAAAAGATGCAGGGAACTTCCTTCTGTGACTCATCTTTCCACTGGGAATCCAAGCAACCCAGGCAAAGGGAGAGCACTTCATTTCTCCCAAGACCTGGAGCTAACATAGGGAAAGGTTTGGAGGCATTGAGAGGAAAACGCACCAGGAAAAACTAGAGGCATTTTCCTAGACCTAGAACTGAGAGCAGGATGCCATTTTTAATCTGAATGTATACAAAGTCAGTCCTTCTTTGGGGAACCACCAGTGTAGCCATGCAGGCATTTCCAACTCAGGCTAGAGATTGGTGCATTTGTTCTGGAGCAGGGTAGGTACCTCCAAAGCCAGAATTTTGGAAAGCACCTCAGAAATAGGCATTAGGACTGCTCTGGGGCAGGAGGAGAGCTGCTACAGCTGCACTTTCTTCTGGTAGGCAAGGCTTGCAGTCAAGGCCAGCTTGGTGACCTGGAACTAGTTTGCATGTGTCATTGCTGGGTACTCCAGCCTGATCCCCTGAGATAGTGGTACAGCAGGGATCACTCTGATCCACCCCAGGCAGAACTCCAGGCATTCAAAGCACTTACTCATATGGATTAGCAGCCTGACCTGCCCCACCCTTCCTGTGCAGAGATCTTGGTTCTGTGAGGCCCTTTTCACTTCATATCTAGGAAAACCTCCAAGCATTCAGAGCAACTTCTCTCCTGGATCAGCAACCTGAGCTGCTCCACCCTACCGGGGCATAGATTGTGGTGCAGTATGTCCTCTCCACTTTATGCTCAGGTATATCTCCAGGCATCCAGAGCACTCAGTCAGCAGCCTGACCTGTCCCAACCTTCTGTGCAGAGATCATGGTGCAGGGGGCCCTCTCCATTTCACATCCAGGCAGATCTCCAGGTATTTGGAGCACCTGCTCACCCAGCTTGGCATTCTGAACTGCTTCATCCTTTCTGCACAGAGATCACAATGCAGCAGGACCCTTTCTGTTCCATGCCCAGAGACTGTGGTACAGTGGGGCCTTCTCCACTCAATGCCTAGGCAGATCTCCATGCAGTTAGAGCACCAGCTCACCTGGATCAGAAGGTCAAACCACCTTACTTCCTACAGCAGAGCACTCTGCACTCTACACCCAGGAATGTTTTTAGTCATCTTGAGCAACTGCTCTCCTGGATTAGGTTTAGGCTGCCCCCTGCCTGTGCAGGTCTCCCAGCTCCCTGCCTAAGCTCACTTCAGGATGCTTGGTCACCAGCCACTGGACTTTCCCATGGCACTGATGTCGTGCCTGTTATCAGGAGACCTGAAGCTGGGCCTGCCTGGTCTGGCTCTGTCCATCTTGCCTCCAACCCCCTGGGGCTAAGCAGCGAGCTGAAACCACTGGGCACTCCACAGATCAGCCCATTGTCCAAGGCAACAGAGAGCTTCTCCTGATACATAAGGATCAAGTATATACCCAACCACGTTGGCTGCATCCAGTTCTTACCCATAAGTGCCATCTACTGGCTTGTAGATCAAACCACACAACCCATGTAAAACCTACCGAAAGAAGTGCAGAGGACTACATATGGAAGCAAAGCCAAAAGACCATACCTAACATTCTCTATAGACACACAATCTATGGAGGGGAAAAGGGGGGAAATCGAAAGAAAAATAAATAAACAATATTATAGGGGAGAAAAATTCCTACCCAAATGAAAATAATTAGAAAAATTTGGAAGTGTCAGCATTTCCAAATGAGAAGAAACCAGTGAAAGAATTCTGCCACCATGAAAAATCAGAATGTATTATATGTATAATACATACGATACAAAATGTATAATAGCAGTACCACCAAAGTATCACACTAGCTCTCCAGCAATGGCTTCTAACCAAAATGGAAGCTCAAAAATGACAGACAAAGAATTCAAAGCATGGGTTGCAAGGAAGCTCAAGAAGATCTTAAAAAAGGTTGAAAATTAACAAAAAGAAACTTCTAAACCAATCCAGGAAATAAAGGAAGAGATAAACATCTTAAAATAAATCAATCAGAGCTTCTGGAATTGAAAAAACAATTTCAAAATATAATTGAAAGCTTTATCAATAGATTGAACCAAGCAGCAGAAAGAATGTCAGAGCTTAAAGACTAGTCTTTCAAACTAATTCAGACAAAGACAAGGAAAAAAAAATCTTAAAAAATTAATGGGTTGGGAGCAGTGGCTCATGCCTGTAATCCCAGCACTTTGGGAGGCCGAAGAGGGCGAATCACAAGGTCAGGAGTTTGAGACCAGCCTGGCCAACATGGTGAAACCCCGTCCCTACCAAAAATACAAAAAATTAGCTGGGCGTGGTGGTGGGTGCCTGTAATCCCAACTACTAGGGAAGCTGAGGCAGGAGAATTGCTTGAATCTGGGAGGCAGAGGTTGTAGTGAGCGAAGATCATACCACTGCACTCCAGCCTGGGTGACGGTGTGAGACTCCATCTCAAAAAAAAAAAAAAAAAAAATGAAGTTTTTGAGAAATATGGGATTAGGTAAAGCATAATCCTCCTAGTTATTGGCATTTCTGAGACACAAAGAGAAAAATTAGACAACCTGGAAAACATATTTGAGGAAATAATTTTAGAAAATTTTTCTGATCTTGCTAGAGAGGTAGGCATTCAGATACAAGAAATCCAGGGAACATCTGTGACAAGCTATAGAAAATGAACCAAATCAAAGCATGTAGTCACCAGATTGTCCAAGATCAATGCTAAAGAAAAAGTCTTACAGGCAGAGAGAAAAGGGCAGATACCATAAAAAGGGAAACTTATTAGGCTAACAGCAGAATTTTCAGCAAAATTCTTAGAAGCCAGGAGAGACTGGAGACCTTTCTTCAGCACATTCTTAAAAAAAAAAAAAAAAAAAAAAAAAAGAAATTACAAGAATTTCATACTCTGCCAAATTAAGCTTCATAAGCAAGGAAAAATAAAATATTTTCCAGACAAGCAAGTACTAACGGAATTTGTTACCACTAGATCAGCCTTACAGAGTAAATAAATAACCTGCAGAATGGGAGAAAATATTTGTAAAATATGCATATGACAAAGGCCTAATATCCCGAAATCTGAGGAACTTAAACAATTCAATGAGCAGAATAAATAACCTCATTAAAAATGGGCAAGGACATGAATACACACTTTTCAAAAGAAGACATACAAGTGGCCAAAAAACATGAATAAATACTCATTATTAATTATCCGAGAAATACTAATCGAAACCATAATGAGATACCATCTCACACCCGGCAGAATGGCTATTATTAAAAAGTCAAGGCCAGGCACAGTGGCTCATGCCTGTAATCGCAGCACTTTGGGAGGCCGAGGCAGGCAGATCACCCGAGGTCAGTGGTTCAAGACCAGCCAGGCCAACATGGCAAAACCCCATCCCTACTAAAAATACAAAAATTAGCTAGGTGTGGTAGTGTGCGCCTGTAATCCCAGCTACTCGGAAGGCTGAGGCAGGAGAATCACTTGAACCCAGGAGGCGTATGTTGCAGTGAGCCAAGATCATGCCACTGCACTTCAGCCTGGCCAGGAGACAGAGCAAACTCTGTTTCAAATATAATAATAACAAAAGTAAAAAAACAACAAATGCTGGTGAGCCTCTGAAGAAAAGGGAATGCTTATACACTGTTGGTGGGGATATAACTTAGTTCAAACACTGTGGAAAACGGTTTGGAGATATCTCAAGAAACTTAAAACAGAACCATCATTCGGCCCAGCAACCCCATTACTGGGTATCTATTCAAAAGAAAATACATTGCTCTACTTAAAAGACACATGCACTAGTATATTCATCACAGCTCTATTCACGAGAGCAAAGACATGGAATCAACCTAGGGGCCTATCAACAGTGGATTGAGTAATGAAAACATGGTACATATCCACCATGGAATACTATTCAACTATAAAATAAAAGATACCCTTGGCAGAAACATGGATGCAGCAGAGGCTATTACCCTAAATGAATTAATGCAGGAACAGAAAGCCAAATACCACATATTCTCACTTATAATTGAGAACTAAATACTAGATGCTTATGGATGTAAAAAAGGCAACAATAGAATCTGGGGACTACTAGAAGCATGAGGGAGGGCTAGGAGCAAGAGTTAAAAAACTGACATTTGGGTACCATGTTGACTATCTCAGTGACAGTATCATTCATATCCCAAACCTAAGAATCACACAATATACCCATGGAACAAACCTGCACATGTACACCCTGAATATAAAATAAAATTTGAAATAATTTAAAATAAATTTTAATAATATCATTAACTCATCCCATTAAAAATTTTTGATTATGTATTATGTCTCAGAGCCAATTCAAATATTTACAATTCAAAGAAGCATAAGACATAGCCTTCAAAAAGCTCATGGTTTAGTCAGTAATATGTATCATTATAAAATATTGTGGTAAATGCAAGATAAACGTATAGACTAGGAAATCAGGAGTAACAAAGGCGAGAAAATGATCAATTTTGCCTTGGTAAATCAAGCTTTACAGATTAAGTTGAATTATCAGAAACTCCCCACTCAGATAAGAAAAAGAAGACCAGTGAAAGTAAGAGGAGCTTAGGGTATAAATTTGTATAGTATTACTTTACTGCTGAAAGAAATCATGGGGAAGCAAGGGGAAAGGAAATGGAGAGTAAGGCATTAAAGAACCGAGAGCAAAGAGGAGAGAGAGCATTACTGAGCGGGCCACTGCTTGAAATCAAGCACAACTAATTTTGCTTGATATCAGACTGCCTTCTGAGAGGGCATATTTACTAGCCCATTTTATAAGAGTCTGTCTACGTGAAGAAGGATTGAGAATTTATGCACCATGTTTCACTTCCAATTCCACCCTGCACATGCATAGGTGGCAAGTGAATCCTATGGCATTTAACACCTCACTGGCAACCAGCAAACCACAGTTGGAAAGGCAAGAGATGCAGAACGCAAGCAGGAGACAAGGTGCTATCATATAAAGTTAATGATGATAGCAGTCAGAGTAAAATAAGTGGCCATGGACAAAGGGTAGATCAAGCCAAAAACAGTGGAAGTAGCATTTAGAATATGTCTCATGCAGAAAACTCTTTGCACCACTCAGATTCATTTGTGACCTCCCATTTTGCCCAGCTCCCACGTTGCAAAATGATTCTCCATTTTTTGTGAAATTTTTGTGCCCTCACTCCTCCAAAAGAGTAAAGTATAAATCACAGAAACGCAGTGTCTGAAAAAATTTTAGGCAGAAGGGTTAGTAAAACAAGCTATGGTATTCACTGCTGCAACTTATCCACCATAAACCTCTATAAGAGAGGACCATAACACTGTTTTAGATACCCTGGCATCAGAATCAGCTTAGATGCTATAGTGAACTGTTTTTAAATGTCTGTGTAAACCTCCTTCCCAGGGCACTGTAACTCTGGCAAAAGTCACAGATCCCTTTGGGAACAAAACAAGGGAATATTTACCACATGTATTTGTGATGATGCCGAGGACTTACAGTCTCCTTCAACTGCTGGACCCTGGGTTAGCAAACTGATTTAAATCTGGAAACTGGCAGGACATGATATTCCATTTCAGTGGCTGATATAACAGTATTATTATTATTATTATTATTATTATTATTATTATTTTGACATGGAGTTTCACTCTTGTCACCCAGTTTGGAGTGCAATGGTGTGATCTTGGCTTACCGCAACCTCCGCCTCCCAGGTTCAAGTGATTTTCCTGCTTCAGCCTCCCGAGTAGCCGGAATTACAGGCGCCCGCCACCATGCCTGGCTAATTTTTTTATTTTTAGTAGAGACAGGATTTCACCACATTGGCCAGGCTGGTCTCGAACTCCTGACATCAGGTGATCCACCTGCCTTGGCATCCCAAAGTGCTGGGATTACAGGCATGAGCCACCATGCCCGGCTTCATTATTTTTTATTAATAATAATAATAATAATATGTTTAGGGGCTTTCTATCTCACCCTTAAAACTATCATAATCTCTTAGCTTGTTTCACAGATACCTACGGCTCAGGCATCCTGATTGCCATTCTGGCCTTGATGCCAATTATGGCAATTCCAATTCCCTTACATCTGACAAGGGAGTGCTACCACCTGGCCTCTGAATTCCTATAATCCATCATCCCCATTCATACTAAGGAATCTAGTTTGATAAAATGATTTCCCACCCTCCTGACCTGCAGATAATAACCAAATTCAGTCTTCTCAAATACACTACTGCCTCTCTCCCCACTACTGACCAGTGTGTTCCCTATTACCTTACAGGAGAAACTGTGCTCTTTAGAAGCTTCTGAAAAGCCCA
Source organism: Homo sapiens (assembly GCF_000001405.40). Lineage (NCBI taxonomy): Eukaryota > Metazoa > Chordata > Mammalia > Primates > Hominidae > Homo > Homo sapiens. The sequence goes on along the minus strand of NC_000002.12, from coordinate 56,667,346 downwards.
TCAGATAGTGGCTTCTCTGGTCTTTCCAAGGAAGTTTACTCGGATTTCCTCATCTCTCTGAAACCTCTTATATCTGCCTCAGTTCTATACCTAATTTATTTTAGATAATCATCATGCCTAAGCTTCAAAATTTATCACAGCAAACCATTAGGGTCACTTGCTTGCCAGGACATTGAGATCTGACTGATGGGTGACGACCATTGATAAAGTTTATTTCCAGTCTAATAAGCTGCTTCCTAGGTCTAACATCTTCAAGATTTACTTATATACTCGTTCTTTGGGTTCCTGCCAATGCATATAGTTAGATCATGCCATTCATTTGATTGATGTGTTGCTTTCTCAAAGAACAGGAAACTTAATTCTCTGCTAAGCCTATACTGAAAAGCTTATCCCTGGAAATTGTCTGAAAATGAATGAGGATTTATAGGAGCAAATGTCAAAAGGAATACATGTCATCCTATGAGGTACTTTTCAGGGTTGAGGTCAAACAGGGTTTCCAGGCAAGTGGAGGCTGATCTATTTTGGCAAAAGGAAAGGGACTACATATAATGGCCTTGAGTGTTCAGGAGAATTTGGGTATTACAGAATCTCAAGCTTGCTTTTACAAATGTTTCCTATTCAGTTTTGAGGATCCTTATTTATTGTAGTCAGGGCTTTGAATTAATTGAATTAAATACACGAGACTTGTTGATCCTGTGAACTCAGTATTCCTTTGTAGCTTTGCCACCCTATAATCAGATCCTGGGCATGATTTTTGGCATATAGATTAAGACTAACATAACCTGTATTTTTTTTAGGTACTCAACAAATATTTATTGAATGAATGAATATATTCCTACCTCCTAAGACAAACCTGTATTTTAATGTTGTTTTTCCAATCAGATTATTATTATAATTCCTTTAGACCTGTTTATCATTTTAGAAGAGGAATATTCCCACTGAATTGCCTGGGGCATTTCCAGAGGCACCAAACAACTCTACAATTTCTCAAAAGTGAAGTTTGTCTCAACTGAAAGAGGCTATTCTTTTAAATTCTCCTAATAATATAAAAGTCATAGACACAACTTCAATCAAGAAGATGAAATTGAATTTGTGCAAGTTTTATGACCAAAGGCAAATCTCCAGGAGAATATCCTTCTTCTAACACTTGTGGGCTCAATATTAGAGGACAAATGGCACCTCATATTATATATCTCAATATTTAAAATTTATAAATTGAACTGGCAAACTATTTTGTGCAGTCTATTCCACCCTTTTGCCCTGGTGAATATATGTTTTAATGCCCAGCTAATTCAGGTACAAGTTTATAATTCTTGAATTTCTCACTCTGCTGGAAAATAGTACCATGAGAGATATCCAGCCCCTAGATCCCTGCTTGCTACATTCTCTTCACACCCACAGTACTGTTTCACAGAGTGAAATTCTTAGCATGCATGCATATAGAATCTCCAGCCTACTCAGCCAAGCTCCACCCACAATATTCACAATCAACAACTTCTTAACCATCCCGCAGTTTGGGGTTCTTTATACCAAAGGTGGACCCTACCCTCAGGAAGACATATTCAGTGAAGAAGTTCATACAGGCCCTAAGTTGAGGAAGAAAATTCAAGAGTACCAGTTAACAAGCAAATGGTCAAAAAGTGATGTTCAGGTTTCTGTGGAGAGGAGAATGGCTGGAGGAAATCCAAACCAGTGCCATGTAAAGAATAGGGCCCAGGCAGGAAGCCTCTCCGGCATGGATCTCAGTATGTTTCTGTTTGAGAGGAGGAATCATTACACATACATACACACATACACACACACACACACACACACACGTATATATATATATATATATCTTTGTACCCATGGCTGCCTAACAAAGTAAGATGGTACTCCAATGTGTATTTTTTTAATTGGTCATAATAAAAGTAATAAGCACAGCCAAGAAAATGTTGGATAAGAGTATAGAAAAGGCTAGAGACTAAGTAACAGGAGATTTGGGCTCTAGTATTGGTGTTTCTACCACTCTGATTCTTTTACTGCATTAATTTGGGCCACCAGAAGTTTTTCTATCTAAACAAATGAAGGAATTTGATTGAGCAATCTAAATCTTTTCTAGTTCTCAAATTCCATAGTTCATTTCAACTCATCCCTGCCACTAACAAAGCAACTAAAAGGCAATATTCTATATCTGGATTTATCTTTTTATATAAAAGGCAATAATAACATAACACCTTTGAAAACTAGTAAGTATGCTTTTAATGAGGTTGGGTAGATGTGTTTTCTAAGGAAGTATCAGGTTTCAGTTGAAAGTATACATTGAGAGCTCTTCAACAAATGTAGACCAGCTGAGAATGAACAAACTCTAAGTAAATAAATGTAACTTGCTAAAAAAAAAAAAGACTATGAATATTATTTTAGCCATGAGCTAAGATATCAAATTCATTAAGAAATGGAGCTCCCAGTTGAAATAATATTGGGAACAGAAAGGCAAGAAACTGCTTAATAAGCTATTGATTATTGCCACAATTTCAGATCCTGTTATGGGTCTATTCAGAGATTCAACTTCTTCCTGGTTTAGTATTGGGAGAGTGTATGTGTCGAGGAATTTATCCATTTCTTCTAGATTTTCTAGTTTATTTGCGTAGAGGTGTTTGTAGTATTCTCTGATGGTAGTTTGCATTTCTGTGGGATCGGTGGTGATATCCCCTTTATCATTTTTTATTGTGTCTATTAGATTCTTCTCTCTTTTTTTCTTTATTAGTCTTGCTAGCGGTCTATCAATTTTGTTGATCCTTTCAAAAAACCAGCTCCTGGATTCATTAATTTTTTGAAGGTTTTTTTGTGTCTCTATTTCCTTCAGTTCTGCTCTGATTTTAGTTATTTCTTGCCTTCTGCTAGCTTTTGAATGTGTTTGCTCTTGCTTTTCTAGTTCTTTTAATTGTGATGTTAGGGTGCCAATTTTGGATCTTTCCTGCTTTCTCTTGTGGGCATTTAGTGCTATAAATTTCCCTCTACACACTGCTTTGAATGTGTCCCAGAGATTCTGGTATGTTGTGTCTTTGTTCTCGTTGGTTTCAAAGAACATCTTTATTTCTGCCTTCATTTCGTTATGTACCCAGTAGTCATTCAGGAGCAGGTTGTTCAGTTTCCATGTAGTTGAGCGGTTTTGAGTGAGATTCTTAATCCTGAGTTCTAGTTTGATTGCACTGTGGTCTGAGAGATAGTTTGTTATAATTTCTGTTCTTTTCCATTTGCTGAGGAGAGCTTTACTTCCAACTATGTGGTCAATTTTGGAATAGGTGTGGTATGGTGCTGAAAAAAATGTATATTCTGTTGATTTGGGGTGGAGAGTTCTGTAGATGTCTATTAGGTCCGCTCGGTGCAGAGCTGAGTTCAATTCCTGGGTATCCTTGTTAACTTTCTGTCTCGTTGATCTGTCTAATGTTGACAGTGGGGTGTTAAAGTCTCCCATTATTAATATGTGGGAGTCTAAGTCTCTTTGTAGGTCACTCAGGACTTGCTTTATGAATCTTGGTGCTCCTGTATTGGGTGCATATATATTTAGGATAGTTAGCTCTTCTTGTTGAATTGATCCCTTTACCATTATGTAATGGCCTTCTTTGTCTCTTTTGATCTTTGTTGGTTTAAAGTCTGTTTTATCAGAGACTAGGATTGCAACCCCTGCCTTTTTTTGTTTTCCATTTGCTTGGAAGATCTTCCTCCATCCTTTTATTTTGAGCCTATGTGTGTCTCTGCACATGAGATGGGTTTCCTGAATACAGCACACTGATGGGTCTTGACTCTTTATCCAATTTGCCAGTCTGTGTCTTTTAATTGGAGCATTTAGTCCATTTACATTTAAAGTTAATATTGTTATGTGTGAATTTTATCCTGTCATTATGATGTTAGCTGGTTATTTTGCGCGTTAGTTGATGCAGTTTCTTCCTAGTCTTGATGGTCTTTACATTTTGGCATGATTTTCCAGCGGCTGGTACCAGTTGTTCCTTTCCATGTTTAGCGCTTCCTTCAGGAGCTCTTTTAGGGCAGGCCTGGTGGTGACAAAATCTCTAAGCATTTGCTTGTCTGTAAAGTATTTTATTTCTCCTTCGCTTATGAAGCTTAGTTTGGCTGGATATGAAATTCTGGGTTGAAAATTCTTTTCTTTAAGAATGTTGAATATTGGCCCCCACTCTCTTCTGGCTTGTCGGGTTTCTGCCGAGAGATCCGCTGTTAGTCTGATGGGCTTCCCTTTGAGGGTAACCCGACCTTTCTCTCTGACTGCCCTTAACATTTTTTCCTTCATTTCAACTTTGGTGAATCTGACAATTATGTGCCTTGGAGTTGCTCTTCTTGAGGAGTATCTTTGTGGCGTTCTCTGTATTTCCTGAATCTGAATGTTGGCCTGCCTTGCTAGATTGGGGAAGTTCTCCTGGATGGATTCACAGCTGAATTCTACCGGAGGTACAAGGAGGAACTGGTACCATTCCTTCTGAAACTATTCCAATCAATAGAAAAAGAGGGAATCCTCCCTAACTCATTTTATGAGGCCAGCATCATTCTGATACAAAAGCCAGGCAGAGACACAACAAAAAAAGAGAATTTTAGACCAATATCCTTGATGAACATTGATGCAAAAATCCTCAATAAAATACTGGCAAAACGAATCCAGCAGCACATCGAAAAGCTTATCCACCATGATCAAGTGGGCTTCATCCCTGTGATGCAAGGCTGGTTCAATATATGCAAATCAATAAATGTAATCCAGCATATAAACAGAGCCAAAGACAAAAACCACATGATTATCTCAATAGATGCAGAAAAAGCCTTTGATAAAATTCAACAACCCTTCATGCTAAAAACTCTCAATAAATTAGGTATTGATGGGATGTATTTCAAAATAATAAGAGCTATCTATGACAAACCTACAGCCAATATCATACTGAATGGGCAAAAACTGGCAGCATTCCCTTTGAAAACTGGCACAAGACAGGGATGCCCTCTCTCACCACTCCTATTCAACATAGTGTTGGAAGTCCTGGCCAGGGCAATCAGGCAGGAGAAGGAAATAAAGGGTATTCAATTAGGAAAAGAGGAAGTCAAATTGTCCCTGTTTGCAGATGACATGATCGTATATCTAGAAAACCCCATTGTCTCAGCCCAAAATCTCCTTAAGCTGATAAGCAACTTCAGCAAAGTCTCAGGATACAAAATCAATGTACAAAAATCACAAGCATTCTTATACACCAATAACAGACAAACAGAGAGCCAAATCATGAGTGAACTCCCATTCACAAGTGCTTCAAAGAGAATAAAATACCTAGGAATCCAACTTACAAGGGATGTGAAGGACCTCTTCAAGGAGAACTACAAACCACTGCTCAAGGAAATAAAAGAGGATACAAACAAATGGAAGAACATTCCATGCTCATGGGTAGGAAGAATCAATATCGTGAAAATGGCCATACTGCCCAAGGTAATTTATAGATTCAATGCCATCCCCATCAAGCTACCAATGCCTTTCTTCACAGAATTGGAAAAAACTACTTTAAAGTTCATATGGAACCAAAAAAGAGCCCTCATCACCAAGTTAATCCTAAGCCAAAAGAACAAAGCTGGAGGCATCACACTACCTGACTTTAAACTATACTACAAGGCTACAGTAACCAAAACAGCATGGTACTGGTACCAAAACAGAGATAAAGATCAATGGAACAGAACAGAGCCCTCAGAAATAACGCCGCATATCTACAATTATCTGATCTTTGACAAACCTGAGAAAAACAAGCAATAGGGAAAGGATTCCCTATTTAATAAATGGTGCCGGGAAAACTGGCTAGCCATATGTAGAAAGCTGAAACTGGATCACTTCCTTACACCTTATACAAAACTCAATTCAAGATGGATTAAAGACTTAAACATTAGACCTAAAACCATAAAAACCCTAGAAGAAAACCTAGGGATTACCATTCAGGACATAGGCATGGGCAACGACTCCATGTCTAAAACACCAAAAGCAATGGCAACAAAAGCCAAAATTGACAAATGGGATCTAATTAAACTAAAGAGCTTCTGCACAGAAAAAGAAACTACCATCAGAGTGAACAGGCAACCTACAAAATGGGAGAAAATTTTTGCAACCGACTCATCTGACAAAGGGCTAATATCCAGAATCTACAATGAACTCAAACAAATATACAAGAAAAAAACAAACAACCCCATCAAAAAGTGGGCGAAGGACATGAACAGACACTTCTCAAAAGAAGACATTTATGCAGTCAAAAAACACATGAAAAAATGCTCACCATCACTGACCATCAGAGAAATGCAAATCAAAACCACAATGAGATACCATCTCACACCAGTTAGAATGGCTATCATTAAAAAGTCAGGAAACAACAGGTGCTGGACAGGATGTGGAGAAATAGGAACACTTTTACACTGTTGGTGGGACTGTAAACTAGTTCAACCATTGTGGAAGTCAGTGTGGCGATTCCTCAGGGATCTAGGACTGGAAATCCCATTTGACCCAGCCATCCCGTTACTGGGTATATACCCAAAGGACTATAAATCATGCTGCTATAAAGACACATGCACATGTATGTTTATTGGGGCATTATTCACAATAGCAAAGACTTGGAAGCAACCTAAATGTCCAACAATGATAGACTGGATTGAGAAAATGTGGCACATATACACCATGGAATACCATGCAGCCATAAAAAATGATGAGTTCATGTCCTTTGTAGGGACATGGATGAAACTGGAAAACATCACTCTCAGTAAACTATCGCAAGAACAAAAAACCAAACACCGCATATTCTCACTCATAGGTGGGAATTGAACAATGAGATCACATGGACACAGGAAGGGGAATATCACACTCTGGGCACTGTTGTGAGGTGGGGGTAGGGGGGAGGGATAGCACTGGGAGATATACCTAATGCTAGATGACAAGTTAGTGGGTGCAGTGCACCAGCATGGCACATGTATACATATGTAACTAACCTGCACAATGTGCACATGTACCCTAAAACTTAAAGTATAATAATAAAATAAAAAAAAAGAAACTGCTTAATAATCAGTCTGGGCAGTGGGAACCACAGAAGCATGCTAAAACTTGTTATATTTATAAAATTGTTGCTCTTCCATGCCCAAGACTTGTCAAAGTCCACTCCCACCAATCTCAGAGATCTCAGAACAGTAGGATAAGGCTGATATTCCTAAGAGATGCCCAGTAAAGTATAGAGCTAAAGTGCCAAGATTTTTAGATTTTTTTGTTTAAACAAAACTAGAATTCCAAACTTTGTATATTGCTGTGTAGAAATATTAATTATCTCATCTGGTACAGATTACATAGCATCTAGTATTTAAGATGGACATAACTGCAGAATAAAGTCTATTCCTTTAATAAATTTGGCCTTGTGAAAAAATTAATAAATGATTACATTTTTATTTCTTTCATTTAATCATGAGCATTTGGAAACTTTTTCAGCACTGTACAAAGGAATTACATTGAAGAAGCATTTCTATATATGTTAAGATTCTACTACAGATTGATACATCCTCGAGTCTAGTTTTCTCAAGGATTTTCATGAGATCTCAGCCTGTCTAATCACTTAAACTGCAAACTGAACTTCGTATGTTTCCACGATTTATCTTAGAGTTGAGATCAACACTGGGCTGGGCATACAGGTATGTTAGATGGTCTTCCTTTTTTTTTTTTTTTTTTTTTTTTTGAGATGTAGTCTCTCTTACCCAGGCTGGAGTGCAGTGGCATGATCTCAGCTCACTGTAACCTCCGCCTCCTGGGTTCAAGTGATCCTCCCACCTCAGCCTTCCAAGTAGCTAGGACTACAGACATGCGCCACCATGCCCAGCTAATATTTGTATTTTTAGTAGAGATGGGGTTTCACCATCTTGGTGAGGCTGGTCTTGAACTCCTGACCCCAGTTGATCCACACACCTCAGCATCCCAAAGTGCTGGGATTAAAGGCTGAGCCACCACACCCAGCCAATGTTCTTTCTAATGAATATTATTTATTCTAAATTTCTAAATCATTTAAAAATATTTCTTAATATTAAAATAACAATTTTATTTTATCTATTATACTTTAAGTTTTAGGGCACATGTGCACAACGTGCAGTTTGTTACATATACATACACGTGCCATGTTGGTGTGCTGCACCCATTAACTCGTCATTTAACATTAGGTATATCTCCTAATGGTAACCCTCCCCACTCCCCCTATCCCACAACAGGCCCCAGTGTGTGATGTTCCCCTTCCTGTGTCCATGTGTTCTCATTGTTCAGTTCCCACATATGAGTGAGAATATGCAGTATTTGGTTTTGTGTCCTTGTGATAGTTTGCTGAGAATGATGGTTTCCAGCTTCATCCATGTCCCTACAAAGGACATGAACTCATCATTTTTTATGGCTGCACAGTATTCCATGGTGTATGTGTGCCACATTTTCTTAATCCAGTCTATCATTGTTGGACATTTGGCTTGGTTCCAAGTCTTTGCTATTGTGAATAGTGCTGCAACAAACATACGTGTGCATGCGTCTTTATAGCAGCATGATTTATAATCCTTTGGGTATATAGCCAGTAATGGGATGGCTGGGTCAAATGGTATTTCTAGTTCTAGATCCCTGAGGAATTGACACACTGACTTCCACAATGGCTGAACTAGTTTACAGTCCCACCAACAGTATAAAAGTGTTCCTATTTCTCCACATCCTCTCCAGCACCTGTTGTTTCCTGACTTTTTAATGATCGCCATTCTAACTGGTGTGAGATGGTATCTCATTGTGGTTTTGATTTGCATTTCTCTGATGACCAGTGATGATAAGCATTTTTTCATGTGTCTTTTGGCTGCATAAATATCTTCTTTTGAGAAGTGTGTGTTCATATCCTTTGCCCACTTTTTGATGGGGTTGTTTGTTTTTTTCTTGTACATTTGTTTGAGTTCATTGTAGATTCTGGATACTAGCCCTTTGTCAGATGAGTAGATTACAAAAATTTTCTCCCATTCTGTAGGTTGCCTGTCCACTCTGATGGTAGTTTCTTTTGCTGTGCAGAAGCTCTTTAGTTTAATTAGATCCCATTTGTCAATTTTGGCTTTTGTTGCCATTGCTTTTGGTGTTTTAGACATGGAGTCCTTGCCCATGCCTATGTCCTGAATGGTATTGGCTAGGTTTTCTCCTGGGGTTTTTATGGTTTTATGTCTAACACATAGGTTCAAAATAAAGGAACGGAGGACGATCTAACAAGCAAATGGAAAACAAAAAAGGCAGGGGTTGCAATCCTAGTCTCTGATAAAACAGACTTTAAGCCAACAAAGATCAAAAGAGACAAAGAACGCCATTACATAATGGTAAAGGGATCAATTCAACAAGAAGAGCTAACTATCCTAAATATGTATGCACCCAATACAGGAGCACCCAGATTCATAAAGCAAGCCCTTACAGACTTACAAAGAGACTTAGACTCCCAAACAATAATAATGGGAGACTTTAACACCCCACTGTCAACATTAGACAGATCAACGCGACAGAAAGTTAACAAGGATACCCAGGAATTGAACTCAGCTCTGCACCAAGCAGACCTAATAGACATCTACAGAACTCTCCACCCAAAATCAACAGAATATACATTCTTCTCAGCACCACATCGCACTTATTCCAAAATTGACCACATAGTTGAAGTAAAGCACTCCTCAGCAAATGTAAAAGAACAGAAATTATAACAAACTCTCTCTCAGACCCCAGTGCAATCAAACTAGAACTCAGGATTAAGAAACTCACTCAAAACCACTCAACTACATGGAAACTGAACAACCTGCCCCTGAATGACTACTGGGTACATAATGAAATGAAGGCAGAAATAAAGATGTTTTTTGAAACCAATGAGAACAAAGATACAACATACCAGAATCTCTGGGACACATTCAAAGCAGTGTGTTGAGGGAAATTTATAGCACTAAATGCCCACAAGAGAAAGCAGGAAAGATCTAAAACTGACACCCTAACATCAGAATTAAAAGAACTAGAGAAGCAAGAGCAAACATATTCAAAAGCTAGCAGAAGGCAAGAAATAACTAAGATCAGTGCAGAACTGAAGGAAAAAGAGACATAAAATAACAATTTTAAAATGATAAACATAGAGACTGACTTAGGAATTAACCCAATGTCTCAGTAAAGATACCAAAGACTATGAACTAGGGATGACCTAGATTCTTGTATCTCTCCTCTAACTGTCCCACTTTCTAAGCATCCTTTTAATTCCTGAAATTCATTCTAGTCACTAGGTATCAAATGTAATTCCCTTTGTTGACAATATGATTCACACTCACTACAATACACCGCAGTTGAGGCCAATTTTTTTTTTAACCAGGAGCTCTCCCCAAGTATTATCTCTGCCTTTTTTGATCAAAGAGGATAAAAAGAACTTCAACAACTTCTTGCATTGAAATTTGAATTTCTAATTTTTATTTGTTTTACATGTTCTCCTTTAAAGTAGTTACCCACACAGAGCTTTAAATTGTCCATTTTTATTCTGTTAAATATACCATACTGCACTTGTACCCTAGAACTTAAAGTATAATAAGAAATACATATATTAAAAAAATTATGTTTCAAAATTAGGGTTTCCACTGGGAATTACTTTTTTAGAAAGGTCTATGGTTAAATATACTCTCATCCATTGATTTTTTAAAAAAATAGCAAGGCATACTTAATTAACTCAAGATTGTTTTCTGTTTGATGTGATCAGTTCTAAACTCAATCACTATAATGGTAAAATGAAAAGATGAGGTTTCTGGTGGAGTGAGATGGTCTGAAAATGAGTTAGGTTAAATAAAGAAGCAACCAAGAAATTGACTATCATAGGAGTAAACATTTTAATCAATTTCAAAATTTTCAGGAATAGCTTATGCAAACATAAAAACTACCATTTCCATGTTAGCATATTGCCTACTGATGTTTTTCTTTTAATACTTATAATAAAAAGTATGTGTTCCTCATATGCCATCATATATTGTAGATGTTAACCTTATTGAAACTTCTTTTTTCTTCCTAAGAGAACTGTGATTTTCCAATATTTTACAGGAGATATGAAACATTAAGATTTCTCTTCTGACATTAGTCTTTGCAAGTGAGGTAATATCTAGGGAATTTAATCTTTAATGTATATTTGCAACATTTCGATTTATAATGTATATTGTCTCTGCATGTTCAGCACTGTAGTACACTATGCTGCTGGTAGTAAAGATATCTGAAAACAATACAAATTTAATTAAGCATCCTCCTCAAGAATTATGGCAAAAAATGACTTTGAAACTTCAAAGTCTTTGAGAAAATAAAAGGAGTGATCGGTTTATGTCTACAGACGTAGGCTTAATTAACCATTGTGTGAAAGTATAGATCACACATTTAATTAAACACTTTAAATGACGTTAGCGATTTCAGCCATCAAACACCAACTAAAACTCAAAGCAAAAACTGATGCTACTTCATTTGCAGTAAAACTACTCAACACTAGAGAAAATGTCTTTAAAGATTCGGATCTTAAAATAAATTTAGCTTGCTTAAGCGTTATGTGTTGTTTTTCTTTTTTAGAACATATTTTAAATACTATATATAATGTTAACCTGTAAAACTACAAAGAGAATATTCCATTCACTTATTCAGTTGACAAATATTTATTCACCTCCAAGTAAATGCAAGTTGTATGTATTATCTATTACTTAGTAACAAATAACCAAAGACTTATCAACTTTAAGCCACACACATTTATTATCTCTCAATTTCTGTGGATCAGGAATCCCAGCACGGCTTAGTTCAGTCCTCTGCTTCAGTGTCTCTCCCAAGTCTGCATTCAAGGCACTGACCAGAACTGGAGTCTCATCTAAGGCTCTACTTGAGGAAGGATCTACTTGGAAGTTCATGTGGCTTTGAGCAGGATTCACATCTTTCTTTGTAAGCTGTCAGGTGAAATCCTTGGCAACTTGCTGGCTGTTGGTTTTCTTACCATGTGGATCTCTTCATATGGCAGCTTGTTTCACTACAGCCAGCATGGGAGAGTCAGTACAGAGTCTGCTGGTAAGATTAAAGTAACAACCTTCCATAATGTAATCATGGAAATAGCATTCCACCACCTTGGCCATCTTCTGTTGGTTAGAAGCAAGTCATAGGTCCTATCCACAATCAAGGGGAGGATATTGAAATACCATGAGTCAGGGATCACTTGGCCAGACAAGTGTAAGTATCATGATGTAAGACAGCAATCTGCAGTCTGTTCATGACAACATTGTTTCAGGGCTTGGAGATATAGTATTGAACAAGACAAATGAAACACCTGTTCTTATATCAAATATAAAATGCAAGTAAAAATGCCATTGATACAATGACAGCCTTTCCTTATCCTTTATCACTTTTGGTTGACAATAATTTTATATATAATAACCCAGATGTCTGACTTTGTATGATGAACTAAAGGGGTGGATAAAATTAACTATAATATTATTAAATGTATCCACACATGAAGTAATGAGATTCTGCTTTAGCCTTGGAGCAATGGAAATGGAAATCAACTAGCAAACACAAAAGATGCTGACTAGCTACTCTTGGCAAACGGAAAATATAAAAGAGAGAGATGACTAGGATGGCTACAAAGTTTTCAGCCTCAACAATTGGAGAATAATGACGTCTATAAACATGCCCTAAAATAACTTATTCTGGAAGAAAGACAATGAGCTTGTTTTAGACATAATAGGTTGAAGGTAGGATAAAAACTAAGAGAGGTAGAAAGTAAGTTTCAAAGAGAAATCAGATTTGCAGAAATAGAAAGCTGCCCTCCAAAAATAGTTCTGCTTTGGATGAGTGAAAAACTGCTCCATAAAACTTGAAGACTATGTAATGGGAATGATATTTCTTTAAGAAGAATAATGCGATTTGATGTGGGAAGAGATCTTGAGACCTCTTTTTGTATTCTGCTATTTTCCAGCTGTGCAGTGTCACTGCCAGCCTTCTTGGTACACATTTTCTTCCTTTATGTTCCCTAAATACTAACTATGAGTCCAGCACCTTGGTTCAAGCTCTCAATTACAAATCATGAAACACAAGCAAGTTGCTTTACCCCTCTGTGTCTCAGAGTCTTCCTACAAACAGGAATAATCACATGTGTCCCACCAACCTTATTGAGATTGTGTTAACACAAATGGGCTAATAATGTGAGTAGTTGTGATAAATTAAGGTGGGATTATAATATTTACTATCATTATAATTATTAAACATTCAGGTGATTATGCTATTGTTTCATATAGCTATTTATTTTTCACAAATGTTACAAATTATATAGTTCTTTAATAGTTTCAAACTTAGCTCTTAAGAGAAACTTGAAGTTTCAATAGAAAAGACTATGGATATGCTAGTTTGTAAGTATCATTGTATTTTGCAAATATTGGGATGTGAGTATATTCAGTAAATATTTGATAATTTGATTGCATATAACACACTTGTTTTGTTTAATGTGTGCCTGTCTCCACTATAATATATGCTTCATAAGGGCAGAGACTGCTTGCTGTTTGTTTTGTTCATTTTTGTATCTCTTCTACCTAGAGGACCATTTGGCAAATACTAAGCATTGAATAACAATTTATGGAATAAATAAATGACTTAATTCATTATTTTGTTTATTTAAATTAGAGAGCCAAGGTAACCACACACTGGTTTAATTATTTTGATGAGTCAAGGAAAACTAATTTAATTTTGTTATTTAGAATTTGTAATACATATAAACTCAGTCTAAAATGAGTAATACAATTTGGAAAGAAAGATGTTTGAACCAATAAGAGAAACATAGTGTTAGCAAGAACATTTTTAGTGCTCACAGGTGGTGGTATTTTTTATTTTTATAACTTAGCCTCTACAAACTTGCCTTACTTTTGCTTTGGGATATTTTGAAGCTGCAGCAGATTGTAATGGACAGATAATTCTTGTGTAGCCTCTGTTAGTAATGGGCAAGATTTGCTCATATAATACAGATACCTGCATTACACTTGCAGTCAGTTTGCACAGTTATTTGCATTCAGACTTGAAGCAGGCTGAGAGCAAAAGATATCCCAGAACACGACTCAAAAACAGGGAAAAGTTTAATAGCTTAAGTGAAAAGAAAATGAAAAGGCATCAAATTCTATTCTAACTGCCAAAAGCATGTTACTTCCACCAAACAGAAGTAATGGGGAGAGAAAAAAAGATAAAATAAAGAAGCTATGAAAAAATGTCCAATAGTAAAAGATTATTAGATGAAGTTTGAAAATCTCTAAAAACTTTTATCAAAGCAGTCGCTATCTTTTACAATGTTTCCTCTTCATATATCATTAAAGTACTTTGCCAATATAAACTGGAGTATAACTTACCATAAATTAATTCTCTCAACAAATATTTAATGAAGGCCTACTACATAACAGATACTATGCTAAAGACACATTTTTCATTACAATCCTTGTTCCACATGGGATTATGCATTAACAGTAAAAAAAATTAATATACCAATATAATATGTGCTTGGTTAATTTTTCAAAATTAGTTTGCACAAAACGGAAGAGCCATTGGATTTTCAAAATAAAGTCATAGGTAATTGAAATAATTTTTTACAAGTCTATTATAAATGCATCTTAGCAGCTCTTTTTTTTTTTTTTATCATGGCTACATTTCAACCTTCCGCTTAAATGAATTCTATTGTTCTCAAGCAACACAGAGTCAGCACTTGACTTCTTTGGCATGCCAAGAGGCAAGAAAATCAGGCTTCCTTGAAAGCAGAATTGCTGCATTCCTTTAGTTATCATTTGAGAAATCAAGGGATAAAGTAGGAAGACACAGATTATGGAGTCCTCCCTGTAAGGTAGATGAAATAGTCCTCATCATTTAGTTTCAGTAATGAAATTGAGATTTGATGTAAGGAAAAGCCTGCACAATTTGGTCCTGGGGGATGTGGGAAGAAGAAAGAGAAAGAAAGGCAGGAGAGAAAATTGAGGCACATGTCCCAATTTCCTCCCTGCAGACTTTAGCTCAGAAAAGGAGTATGATGATACAAGTTGCAGTGGCACCAAGGACACCCACTCTTCTTCTGAAATTATACAAAGAGAAAGCTTCAAAGACACAGCTGAAAAAAGTAAATCTGGTGGTTCAGGATGGCCAGTCACTGGAAAGCATTGAGGTGCATGATCATGAGCCTGCAGATACCTACAAATTGCTGAGTCTCGTTAAGGAACCTGCAGAAGAGATCCCAAGAGTGATCCAAAATGTCTTTGGGTAAGACAGCTCAGACTTTTGGCACTTGGCTGAAAGGGAACTACAGCCAGATCTAAGAGGGGTCTATCGACAAAATTTTAACTAAAGTGAAGCTGAGTCAGTGGGCTTTGGAAGAGATGGAAGAGCTTCAGCTATATTCTCCAGCCATGGATACCAGAAGGACAAGCTGCAACCAGGAAGGAAGGAGGACATTGTGCCTAAGACTGAAGAAACCAGTCAGTATTATTCCCAAGTTCTCCAAGTCTTACCTTCCTCCATGATTTCATGTACTATTTTACTCCCAAATATTCAGCTACCATCTTGGAAAGAAGCTTGTAAGAATAAACTAAAATCTGAAAGCCTTTCTTTCCTAGAAACACTGAGCAAAACCTGGAAGGACTGTATAAATTGTAGAAATAGATGAATGTGAAACAGGAAATGACTTAAAAAGTCCCCTTCCAACTAAACTATAGATGATTATTGAGAGAAAAATAATATTAGTTATTGATAAAGTAAAGAAACTACAGTCTCCCTAAACATCTTAGGTATAATATGAGTTAAATTTTGAAATGTAGGTACAGTACACGGGTTTTGGCTATCAAAATTAAAAATGCTAAGAGGTTGCCAGTTTTCCTCTGCCAAGATAAACTTTAAGATAATATTTAAAGGAAATATTCTATTTTTAAAATATTTAACTAGCAGAAGAGAGCTTACCCCAAAGTGAAACTTAAGGACACACTTGATTTTATAGCAAGCATCTCAAAAAGATCCTTCCACTTTTCTCTCTTTGCCTACTCTTACCTTTGAGCCAAATTTGCAACCATCTCTACTAGCTACAGGGACAGAAATTATGCCCCCAGATTCAAGTGTTGAATATTACTGGGAAAAAAATGAAATAAGAATGATTGTGATTTTAATATATTCTGATCTCTGTTTTGAGTGATTCAAATAGAAGAGCACAACAGCAAAGGTTATTTATGGAGCCCTCACTTTGTGCTCTGCATTCTGTGTAGTACATACATTATTTCATTTAATCTTCACAATTCACACCATCCCATAAGGTATTTATCTCCACTTTACAGGTGGAGATGCTTAGGATCTGTCTTATTCCATTCAGACTGCTATTGCAAAATACCATAGACTGGGTAGCTTACAGATAACAGAAATTTACATCTCAGAATTCGGGAGCCTAGGAAGTCCAACATCCAGGCAGATTCAATATCTGATGAAAGCCAGCTTTCGGATTCGTTGAGGATGCCTTCTCTCTGTTCTCACATGGTGGAAGGGCAAGGTAGCTCTCTAGAGCCTGCTTTATAAAGGCACTGATTTCATTCATAAGGATTCTGCCCTCATGTCTAATCACATCCTGAAGGCTCCTCCTCCTAATACCATGACATTGGTAATGAGTTTTCAATGTATACATTTTGGAAGGACAAAAACAGTCAGATCATAGCAGGATCAGAAAAGATTAATTACTTGTTTAAAAGTACCAGTATATTAAGTGGTAAAGCAGAGACAAAATACCATGTCTATCTCATTCCAAAGCTTATAGCCTTCTCACTGATCCATTTGGTCTTGAAGAGTCATTTAAAATCACAAATATCTTTAAAAGGCATATTTCCATAATTTCCTATTAGTAGTAACTTAAAAAAGTTTAGAGAAACCCAGTAAAATCAAAACTCTTGAAGTTATTATAGGGAGAGAATGCCAATGAGGGGAGAATTGTGCCACTAAAGAAAACCTGGTATTATTTCAAAATCTTCCATAGCACTATCCCACCTATACTGCATAGAACAGTGCCAGAAACATAAGATAGTTTAGAATAGAAATATTTTATATTAGAAATCTTTAACCAGCAAAAGAGAACTTACCCCAAAGTGAAACGAGAACATAATAAGATGTTCTCATTCTTACTTTGCCAGCTCCACACATTTTCCATGCAATTAACACTACCAGATTTTAGACATAATTCTGTTCCCTTTCCAGGTATGATATCAACAAAACTGACACTAGTGCTAACACCAACCTTCCAGGTCCTACCCTTGGACCCTTGCCCATTTGCTTCTGCATTTCACCAGCTCAACATCTTCTGTGGCATGTATCTTCTCTCTATCCTCAGTCACCATGACAATCAATTAGGATAATTAACTGCCTATTCACTTTGAATAGACACTGTGAAAATACTTCCCCTGGAAGACTTTAACTTCAAAAAATTTTATTCCCTCAAAAATTGCCATTTGTAAAGTTTTGAGCAGGATGCCTCCAAGACTGCAAGAAAACTAAAAACATTAGGCTCAGAAAACTAAGCTGATTAAAGGAGGCATAGGAACCAGGAAAGTTAAAAGAATAAAGAAAACGTAAAGGCAGAGCTTACAGTAAACCCACAACAAGAACCTGTAAGTTTTCTTGGTGGAATCTTTCTGATAAGACACAAGGCAGGAGAGAAATAGTGCTATAAGTTGTAAAGTACCAGAGACTTGCCTTGAATTCTCTCATCTTTCTTTGCTATGACTCTTTCCTCCATTATTAAGCCAACCACATTCTCACATGCACACACTCCTAGGCACTTTGACTGCATCCTATTGTCCCAGGGCCTGGCTCAAATCACATCCTCTTATACTTTACTCCAATAAATGTTTAAGGCCTCCCAAGAGCATTTGTACAGTGAAGAGGTCACTTTAAAAAGTCAAAGGTTTTTATTATCCACACAGGTAAATCAGTTTTAGTGTAATTCTTGGTAATTTAAATTTAAAAAGAGATAGTGTGTGAGGTACAAATCAAGGGAGGTACAAATCAAGGGAAGACCAAATTACCCTATTTAATCAGGCAGCACTGAGTAAGAAATACTAGAACACAGACTACAGAGCTAAATGAAATGAACATCAGATCTTACCTTCAGCACTTACTGACTGCATGGCTTTGAGCAACATCAATAAATGAGCAAAAATCTTCTGGCAGGTAGTTGGCAATTATATAATGTAGCAATAGTTATTATGCCCTGTGATTAAACAATATTATTAAGATATGTAACCATGTCTGACACAGAGTTCTTTCTTCATAAATGTTAGCTGAGTCACAATTCACATTGCACTTCATCAACTCATAAGAGCATCCCTGGTATCTGATTAGTTAGAAAGAGAAAACGCACCATTTGTACAAGATGACAAAGTAAGACTTTGTTCTTTTCTCTCTGTGGAAGAAATCTGATTAAATTTTTATAAGATTCTCCATTTAGTGCTGCAACGATAGAATTTCTTGTGAAAGCTAAATCCAAAAAAAGAATATAAAAATTCAAACACTAAACCCTCTTCTGCTACTGTTTTTAAAAGTGTCAACACAAGAAACTGAAAACGTTAATTTTGTATAACCATATACGAAAGTTAGGTGGAGTGGAGAAAAACACATTTTTTCTCTAGTTATGATTTCACCATATCTAGTGTTTTTTTTTTAATCTTTTGAAGACAGAGTAGCACTCTAGAATCATATTACTTCGTATGACAATTTGTGAAGAGAAAGTTTGTATTCTTAGTGGTGGGAACAGCTGATAAATCTTCCACAGATTTTGCTTGTGGAAAATCTTCCTTGATATTGCTACCCACTGTCTAAGATATTGAAGGTGTGAAAGGAGGGTTACAATCATGCTAAGCAGAAGGGACTTTCTTACCACATTTGATAAGATTCCTGATGAATATTCCAAACCACAAAGATTTCATAGAAGTGGTCAGTTTGAATCAAATAAATAACTATATAACAACTATTTTTAAAATGTTATCAGAAGAGAGCAGTTTGCCTGGTTAGGCCTCTAAGGAAAATAAATAAATAAATGAAAGAGAAGTGACATAACAGTCAGGTGGAAGTGAAAGCCACAAGAGACGGAACTGAATCCTTCTGAGAAAACAAACCTCAGGTACCTACTAGCTTCAATAACAAAAGATGGTTGTATAATGAAAGGCTTTAAAAACTACAAAACTCACTGAAGAAGATAAAAATCCCCAAGATTGTTCATTTTATCATATTATTTATGTGTTTTTTCTGTACAGTGGAAGAGGAATGTCACTTCTTAAGGAGTACAGATCCCAGGGCATCAAATGCATTAACCTTGTCTGATAAGCATCCACAGTTTTATTTCTTTTTTTTTTTTTAAACAGAGTCTCTCTGTCACCCAGGCTGGTGCGTAGTGGTGCGATCTCGGCTCACTGCAATCTCCACCTCCCGGGTTCAAGCAATTCTCCTGCCTCAGCCTCCCAAGTAGCTGGGATTATAGGCATGTGCCACCACGCCCAGCTAATTTTTTTTTTTTTTTTTTTGTATTTTTAGTAGAGACAGGGTTTCATTATATTTGCCAGGCTGGTCTCAAACTCCTGACTTTGTGATCCACCTGCCTCGACCTTCCAAACTGCTGGGATTACAGGCGTGAGCCATTGCACCCCATCCCACAGTTTTCTTTAACGCCATAACTGTTTAACTATTCTACCTTCACTACTACTGTAAGCCTAATAACAATAATAATAATCAATGACCCAATACATCTAAAGACACCTCAATCTTAACTCCAAAGTCTCTGTTTGCTTATTAGCCAGTTGGATGATATGAAATTCCTTAAGACTTAATCCTCCCATCTTTGTCAAAAGTTCAACTTTCTCCTTTGCTGTTGGAGGTTCCTTTAATGGCATAAATCTATGGTTAGTCACAAATAATAATACTTGGGGTGTTATTATAGGATAGAGACTAAAAGTGTTTTTATTTATTTATTTTAGAGATAAGGTCTCCCTCTATTGGCTGACTAGAGTGTAGTGGTACAATCATAGCTCACTCCAGTCTTGAACTCCTGGGCTCAGGGGATCCTCCTGCCTCAGCCTCCTGAAAAACTAGGACTACAGGCACTTGCCACAAAGCCTGGATAATTATTATTACTATTATTATTATTATTATTATTATTATTATTATTATTTGTAGAGACAGGGGAGGCTTGCTTTATTGCCCAGGCTGGTCTTGAACTCCTAGCCCCAGGCAATCCTCTTGCCTCAGCCTCCCAAAGTTCTGGATTACAGGTATGAGCCACTGTGCTCAGCAAATGCTAAATATGTTTCAGGTAAATTATTATCAATGCTATTAGAGCTTTTATTTATAGATGGGGCTCAGAGAGATCATAGTATTTAAAAAGAATGACTATAAATAATACCTGGAGCTCAACAGAGGAGAGGATGACCTAGAGAGGGAAAGGAGTTAGCACAGTTCCTATAGGTACAATGAGAGCCAAAGGGCCAAAACCAAGGACAGATGATTTCAGAATTCAACCTTAAACTGTCTGTCTTTGTGCTAGGATAAAGAGGGGCATTTTGCTTTGGAAACATCATGGCCCAAAGACAGGAGTCTAAATGTTTCTGGGCATGTGTGAACGAAAGAGAGAGAAAGAGACAGAGAGAGAGAATGTGCACTGCACAATAAGAATAAGACCCATCAATCTATCAGGTTGGAGATAATCCCCTGTGTACCTATAGTGACCTCCTATATGTGTGTCGTATCACAGTATATACTTGTGTGATATGATAATCTGACTTCTTCAGAACTGTCAGTCTTCACACCTGGGAGGCCTGCTGATGGTCATGGAGCTCTTGAAGCTTCCCATCCTATCCCAGCATCAACACTTAAGGGAATCAACCACATAAGGTAAGATTTGCCATTTCAAGCACTATTTTGTTTTTAACTAATGAGTTTGTGGCATTCTTTTTAACTCCTCCATACTTTTTTGTTTTTTTGGACAGAAACAATTGTACATATTATCTACAACATGTTTATACACACATACATGCACATACACAAACATTGTGGAATGTCTAAATCTTTCTGATGCATTACATCAGAAAGTTGTTGTTTTTATGGTGAGAACATGTAAAATCTACTCTCAGCACTTTTCAAGAATACAATATATTCTTATACCTGTAGTCACCATGTTACAAAATAGATCTCTTGAACTCATTCCTTCTAGCTAAAATTTTGTACATTACCTTTTTCTCGACAAATAAACCTTGCATATATTTAGGGTGTACAACACGATGTTTTGATATATGTATACATTGTGGAATGGCTAAGTCAAGCTAATTGGAAAATGTTTTATTTCACATACTTGTTTTTATGGTGAAAACACTGTATTATCTATTATCAGGTGTACAATATATTTTCATTAACTGTAGTCTCCAACATGTACAATAGATCTCTTGAACTTATTATTCCTTTCTAACTGAAATTTTGTATCATTTGACCAATATCTTCCTAATTCTCCTACCCTACCAGCCTCTGCTAACTACCACTCTACTGTCTACTTTTATAAGATTTACTTTTTTGGATTCCATATGTAAGTGAGATCATGCTGCATTTGTTTCTGTGTCTGGCTTATTTCACTTACTATGATGTCTTTCAAGTTCATCCATCAGAAATGACATGTTTTTCTTCTTTTATGAGGCTAAATAGTATTCTATTATGTATATATACACCACATTTTTAATATATTCTTCTGTTGAGAGGCATTTAGGTTGATTCCATATCTTGGCTACTTTTAATAAGGCTGCAATGAACATGGAAAGGCAGATATCCATTTGACATGCTGATTTCATATCCTTTGGATTAATATCCAGAAGTGGGATTGGTGGGTTATATCACAGTTCTATTTTTATTTTTTTTTTGAGAAACATCCATATTATCTTACATATGACTATACCAATTTACATTCCCACCAACAATGTATAAGAGTTTCCTTTTATTCACATTCTCATCATTCGTTATCTTTTGACTTTTTGATAATTGCCATCCTAACAGGTACAAGTGAGGTGATATCTCATTGTGGTTTTAATTCGTATATCCCTAATAATTATGGTACCAGCACAATGTATTGTAGATCACTGAGGGATGTCAAACAATTTATGCCTTCCTTGAATTGATTCTCTCTCTGTTATACATTGTCTTTTGTGGGTGCATTTATTTTGTAACTGCCTCTTCTCTCCGTATCAGGCTGTGACATTTATTGTTACCTCTAGCAGTCATTGCAACTTGTTACATAAATCCCTTATAGCTGAGAAAAAGAAAGACAATCAAACTTTCTAGAAGAATATGTTAAAGAAGTGTCAAAAAGACCTAATAGGAATCTGAAGCCCTCCTCCTAAAATATAGTGCAGGGAATTTAATGTATGAATTTTGTGACATGATGCATAAAGCATGATGTAATTTAAATCTGAGATTATGCTTGAGGCTGTAGAAAGCCTAAGATGAATTTGGCATTAGTTTGACAATATATTGATCAAAGCAATCTGTTTAAACATAGCAAAAAAAAAAAAATCCTGAGTTTTCACAAAGATGTCATTATTTCAATGCAATCCAACAATGTTTTTTTCCTTACTCTTTT
This sequence comes from Homo sapiens, assembly GCF_000001405.40. Classification (NCBI taxonomy): domain Eukaryota; kingdom Metazoa; phylum Chordata; class Mammalia; order Primates; family Hominidae; genus Homo; species Homo sapiens. The sequence goes on along the minus strand of NC_000002.12, from coordinate 56,644,670 downwards.
CAGAATACTTCAACTGGTGAGAGGGGTGGCAGAATCTATGAACCATCTGGGATTGGAGTAAGAGTGACCAAGTCAATTTGATGACTGTGCCCCTTCCAGGTAAATAGTAACCAGCAATCTAAATATGATTCACCCAGGAAGAAGAGTGAATTTGATTATTACCAAGATTATCACTAATATCAAAAGTGTATGTGGCAGGAGGAAGAGGAGTTTGGTAATGTCAAAAGGAAGGACTTAGCAGAAATAATCTTCATTTATGTATTTATTCATTCATTCAACTAAATATTTAAAACTTAGTGTATGCTGGGTACTCTTCTAGGTGCTGAAAATATTGTGGGAAAAAAAATAAACAAAGATCCCTTCCCTTGTGGAGCTTACAGTTGAAAGGACAATACCCAAAGATAAGATAAATGCATCCCGTCTATGTTGCAACAGAACCCTACCTAACAGCTGAAGGTAGAAGGAAGACAGTCTAGCATCCCTGAAAAAACAGACAGAATCTAGGCCAGCTATCCAGAGGACAACACAGATGGCTGGGTTTGAGGCAGGGTTCCAATACTAGAGCTTGACTAGAACATCTTGCTATCTATGTTAGATTTCTAAGGTTGTCATAACAAATTACCATAAACTTCTTGACTAAAAACAAAATTATTACCTCACAATTCTGGAGGCCAGAAGTCTGAAAGCAAAGCATCAGCAGGGCCATGATTCTTCCAAAGTCTCTAGGGGAGAACCCATTTTGCCCTTTCCATCTTTTGGTGGCTCCTGGCATTCCTTGGATTATGACAGCATAAGACCAATCTCTTTCTCCATCTTTACAGACCATCCACTCTTCTCTTTGTATTGTTCTTCTGGGTATCTTTGATAAGAACAGTCAGCATTGAATCTAAGTTCCACCCAAAATCTAACATAATATCATCTGTAGATTCTTAACTTCATCAGCAAAGACTATTTTCACATAAGGTCACAGTCATGTGTACTGGTGTACACATCATTTTGGAGACCACTATTCAATCTACAGCACTGTATTAATGAGACTTCTTCTCTGTGATCCTAAAATCCTTTTCAAAGTTCTAATTGATCTCATGGCGTTATCACTAACTGTTAATATTTCTGTCTTCTTCGTTAGTCTCAGCTCCTGAATGGTAAGGATGATATTTATTTATACATAAATGTTTTATCCCCAGAGACTACCATATATATTCCTTGACATATATAGGTACTTAACATATTGTCGATACATCACTACATTAACGAGTTTTCTCAACTTAAGTTCTTTATTTAGAGTTAAACAAACAAAATTAACTGTAGCTACTAGGAAAAGGAGGAAATTATTGTAACAAATTGGGTTAGGGTAGCTCGCAGAATCAAACAAATAGCTAGAACCAGGTTTAGAAAGAGATTTAAAAAAAAAAAAAAAAAAAAAAAAAACAGAGCAGCCCCAGATATCCAACTAGTGTGGGCCAGTGCATGATTTCTTCAGAGAACTCTGCTAGAGCTGTGCTGTCCAGAGCAGAAACCAATACCAAATTGTGGCTATTTCAATTTTAATTTTAATTAACTGGAATAAATATAATTAAAAATTCAGTTCCTTAGTTACATTAGCTCTATTTCATGTTCTCAGTAGTCTCATGTGGCTAGTGGCTACCGCATTAGGCAGCACAGGTATACAATATTTCTATGACTACAGAGCTATCTACTAGGAGATTTTGTGCTAGAATGAGGCAGTCTCTTAGGTGAATCAGCTCCATTCATTTTTCTGTCCTATGTCATGACACCAAAGATTAAAATCCTGGAGAGAGTTTTGGCTGAGCCTGAGTTATGCATCTACCATTTTCATAGGATTGTACAGAATGCATCAATGGAAAGCACTACCCAGACTATACATAATGGAGAAGATATTATTTCCCCAAAGGGAAATTCAGTTCTAATATTAGAAGAAGCATGAATGGAATCTGGATCTGCAAAAACATACAAACGTATGCTCCGTATGCCTATCTTTGCATGTTCACACTGTAATTTTAGTGTGAGAATGAAGATGGCATTGCCAGATAGTCTTCATTTGTCAGTCAGCTAATCAGAACAGAAGGCAGCCTCTTTATAACATCCGTTCCCTGGACGGGCATCTGGGATGGGGTATACAGTGCTATCTGATGCTACGCCAAAAATCCTGGCAGGTAAGGAAGAAACAGAAAGAGCCCTGGAGCCATTTACCTGGTCTCTTAATGTCTGAATTATACTTTCTTTAAACACAGCCTGATGTTAAAGAAATTAAATATTCTTATCAAGTTTGGGAAGGCTAACATTCCTGGCTTCAAAGGGTCACTTTTTAATATGCTTTAGCTTTCACCTTCAGCAGGAAATGGGGAGGGAAAAAGAGCTTTTTGTCAGTACATAGCACCACCTATACATTCATTTTCACTAAACAAACTGCCTTTGTTCAGTATTTCCAGTTTGATCTATGATTGCAGATCACATCTCACAGTTCATTGTGGTCTGGTAGTAATGTACATGCAGGGAAAAAAAATATCCACACCTTAAATTGATTGCAACATGAATTTCACAGTCAACCTGCCAAGAATTTAACAGGCCTCTCTTCTCCAAGTTTTGGACAAGAAAAAGAAGTCATCTAAGGCATGAAAATAAGGAATAGAAATGGAGATTGGGCTAGTAATTAAAAGCCCTAGTCCCTAGTTCCACCACTGAGACTGATTGTCCTTGTATAAAAAGAAATAGTTGGATTAGGTAATCTTCGGAACCGTTAGGGCACCTAAAATCTCTCATTCTAATTGTGCTGGTACATGACCATACTCTGTCACCTCACTCAACTATGCCATTCTCCCTGAACCTCTCCCCTTTATTGGATTAATAGCGCTAGAGTGCTGTAGATGAAGGCAACTGACAAACAATTCTGATGAATTTACTTATATTTTGTTTGCTTTTTTTCCCCCCTTTCTCCAATAAGTTCTCCAGGCCCTTATTATTTCCCTGCCTCTGGAACTTCTTTTTTCCAGAACTAAAATTGAAAGCAGTTGGAAGTGCAGAACTATTCCTTTATTTGCGTAGGCACAAACTCATTGAGGGAATTATTTTGGATGCCTTCAAGACAAGGTAAAAAGAAAATTAGTTCTAGAAAGAAGCAAGAGAGAGAAGGAAGACAACATTTTCCTAGACTGGGAAAATGAAAAAGGAGTTTTATCTGACAACAGATCTGTCCTACTTTCTTATATTTTTGAAGACAAGCGCATGACCTAATAGCATACTGAAGGGGGTTAGAAATTTAGGGAGCAGTATTACCAGACTGGCAAAATATTCCTATGTTTCTCTGTTTCTAGGCACAGAAGCAAGAAAGAAAACCTGAAGGATTCATATGGGCTCAGACAAAGCAGCACCATGGTGGCAACCACATGGAACAATGTGTCTCTGATGCAGCACCATTCCTTAAGAAGACCAAACAGACACTTGACAGCAAGTTACCCACATTTCCACTTCCAAGAAATTCCAGTGAATTTCTTCCACTCTGGAAGGGACAGTGAATCATTTGGCTGGAATCAGCACGTATGCCATATAGGAGTTTGCTTTTCATAATGCAGGGCTTCTACCTGCATCACCATCAAAGGGCTTACAAAGTGTTTGACCCACTGACACAGAATCTCACATAACATCATATTAGACCAAAGAACATATTTTACAGCAGACATGGGCGGTGGGCATCTCACAATGAAATCTGCTAGTCCTATCACAAACCTCACCAACCAGAAACTGCTGTCCTGACATAGCAATAGAATGGCCTGTCGAAGGCAAAGTTGCAGAACAGTTCGAGAATCAAACATCAAAAAGATGGGGTACCATCCTCCGGAATGCATTGTATACTCTAAATGGTACTTATCATATGGTGCCATGACTCCAACAGGTAGAATACATGGGTCCAGGATCACAGAGTGGCCCACTTGGGTAATTTGTACTTGTCTTTCTTGTAAATCTTTTTGCTGCTACTTTAGACCAGATGTCCCATTGAATTTTAAGATATGGCTGCTACCCAGGCACTACAAGATCCATATTATGCCAAAGGTCCAGCAGACAAGAGTCACTATTCAGGAAAAGTTTACTGACACTGATCAACAGAGGAAATAAGGCTGTTGCTATGCAGTGGGGGAAGGGGAAATATATTTGGCATGCAGGTGACCCACTTAGGTAATTACTTGAGGATATTACTTATGAAGTTAAACTGCAGGAGCGAAATCTGTAGTTATCCTAATAACCTTCTTTTTATAATTTTTTACAGGAAAAGAGGTATATCAATATCCTAGAGTAGCTCTTACCATATTTTGTGAAGAAGAAGAATTAACTATAGTGGACACAGCATTGCAACCACAGATGCTATTTCAGTAATAAAGGCACATTTTCTTTGTGGCTCAGAAGCCTGTTTAACGAGCCCTCAGGTGTTATACCTGTTCAGGAATTTCCCTCAGCTAAAGGTACCCACTTTCCAAGGGTAGCCCACGTATCTGGTCAATGCAAGGGTCCTCTGGAAAGCTAAAAACCCATTTTACCTTCTGTGCTGCAGTGGATTTGGCCAAATTTTTCACCATGAATGTTTCACAACTCAACTTTTCTCTCTGCCAAATCCTGCCTTCTTTCCTTTCCCTGTGCCTGCTAATGCCTAGACCACTCTAATAAACTTTCTGCACATGAATCTAGGTCTCAGAATCTGTGTCCCAGATTCCCAACCTCAACATCTTTTTTACAAGGTATCATTTCTCTCTCATTGGGAACGATGTAGCCCTAGATCTCAACCTCTTGCAGACTCAGTCATCTACTCAACATTTACTAAAAAGCACTAAGTGCCAGAAATTTTGGTAAGCATTGGGGATTCTAAAACTATATGAGACAGATATGTTCACTACCCTCGTATATAACACATGTATCTCTGTGTTCTTATAGTAAATACCTCTGGTAATCTATTTGAAAGACTTTCTGTATTTTATTATAGTTATTATGAAATTTTTAAAATAATTTATAAACAGGCAGATAAAATTATATGTATTTATCATGTACAACATGATATTTTGTAATATATAGTAGAATAGCCAAACCTAGCTAATGCATGTATTACCTCACAAAGCTATCATTTTGTGGTGGGAACATTTCAGATCTACTCTCTTAACATATTTCAAGAATATAATATATTGTTATTAATACTGTCAACTTGTACAATATTTCTTGAATTTTTTCCTTCTAATGAGAATTGTGCATCTTTTGACCAGAATCTCCCTAACCATATGTGGAATCTAAAAAAGATGATCTCATAGAAGTACAGAGCAGAATGACAGCTGTCTGTATTTTTGACTAGCATCGGTCTCAGTTATTCAAGGTCAGGAACCACGCCATAACAATATCATTTTCAGAATTATAAGGAAAACCGATCACAGAGCAAAGAGATTTAACAAGTATTGTGTGATACTACTGTTTGCTAGATGGTTTTAATTATATTATGTTACTAATAAATTCACTAATAAAACCATGTCACCATATTAATTTCTTCCTTTTATATGTAGAAAACCTAAGGCATAGAGTGGTTAAAAAAAAATAAGGATTACTTAGGTTGTGGATCCAAGTCAGCCTGTCCTGAAATTTGTGGATTTTGCTGTAAGCCTGTCTCCTATGTGTTCTACTGTGTACTGGGACCATACACAGTATGGTCTTAGCAAATGTCTGATGAATGGCAGAATAAATGAAACAATAAATGAATGGGCAATAATTTGTAAGTCACCAAGTCACATGCCAGATTTCTTGGTTTATGCTTTCTGTGCTAATCTTGGAGTGTCTCATGTTAGAACAAGGTTCACATTTTCTAGTCATTTGCAGCTATTAATATTATGATATGCTCTTCATCAATTTTACACTGAGTGGAAATAATGTCTACTCTATATTTGGTTCTATCAACCTTCAGCTCCAGGGAACAGGCCTATAATTAGCATTTGAAAATCACTCCTGAACTCAGTAGAACTCATGAAGATGCCTGATTTCTAAGAAAGCTTTTTTGTGGAAACAGATAGAAGTCCATTGCAGATGATAATTTATGGACAAAATCAAAAAGCCAGAAGAAGATCCCTATATCTACTGGTCTACAGACAATCAAGAGTAGGGTGCTTCTGAAAAGAAATAATTCTTGCCAATCACCCCACATACCACACTTTCACACTATCCTACATAAAGGTGGGGAAGTTTTACAAACTATCATAGGTTTACTGCATAACAGAAGATTAAATCTGAACTCCCTGGATCAGTTTCGCAGATTAATGCAATCCTTAAATGGGTTTCATGACCAGCCTTCTTCCTCCTGGTCTCAATGGCCCAGGTATGACATAGATAGAAAACAGGCATTCTTTCTTACACCTCAGAATAAACTGCTTCTGGGCCAAACCTGGAAATACAAAGTTGATTCCAGAATAGGAGAGTTTTACAGCCCTATTCCCCCATTCTAGGAAGGTGTACAACCGAAAAGCTTTCACTTTCTAACATTTTCATTATCTTCTATTTATTTGTATTATTTTGACTTTGCTTCATTGCATCCATTGAGGAGGCTGCCTTTGTCTGTTATAATTATTTGGATCAATTTTCTCAAAGACCCAAAAAAAAGCCTCTTCTTCATTTTACATGCCCCAAAGGTAAATCCACTTAAAAATGAGTTTTAACAAGCAGTCCTTATACTGACAAATAATTTTCCTTTCTTGTTACCAAGAAAGATAGGCTAGCATGCAGCAAACCTAAATGGGATGTTAAATTTGGATGTTTCTGATTGCCTGCTGTGGGAACTGCTCAAGGTCCATTTAGGAAATGTGCCTTCATTATAGAAAGTGGCAGTCAGCCTTGCTGACAAAAGTCCTTTAGCTTTCACTCTCTTTGACACATGCTAATACCTGGAATCATGACTTCCACACTCTGTTGGCTCAGTGTTCTCTGCTCCTAATGTTCCCTACAAGAAGTTAGCAAAATTAAAGTGTGTAACAGCTTATTCTATCACTGTTTTGATGGCTAGCTTTAAGAAACACAGACTATTTTCATTAAATAAATATGAAAAATCATTTTATATTCTTTAATTTTCCTAATACGTAAGTGGAAAAGAGAAAGCAGCTGGGTGCGGTGGCTCACGCCTATAATCCCAGCACTTTGTGAAGTCGAGGTGGGTGGATCACCTGAGGTCAGGGGTTCAAGACCAGCCTGGCCAATATGGTGAACCTCATCTTCATTAAAAAAAAAAAAAAAAAAAAGGGTGGGGGAGGAGCCAAGATGGCCGAATAGGAACAGCTCCTGTCTACAGCTCCCAGCGTGAGTGATGCACAAGATGGGTGATTTCTGCATTTCCAACTGAGTTACTGGGTTCATCTCACTGGGGAGTGCCAGACAGTAGGTGCAGGACAGTGGGTGCAGCGCACCGTGTGCAAGCCAAAGCAGGGACAGGCATCACCTCACCTGGGAAGCACAAGGGGTCAGGGAATTCCCTTTCCTAGTCAAAGAAAGGGGTGACAGACGGCACCGGGAAAATCGGGTCACTCCCACCCTAATACTGTGCTTTTCCAATGGACTTAAAAAATGGCACACCAGGAGATTATATCCCGCACATGGCTCGGAGGGTCCTACGCCCACGGAGTCTCACTCATTGCTAGCACAGCAGTCTGAGATCAAACTGCAAGGCAGCAGTGAGGCTGGGGGAGGGGCACCCAACATTGCCCAGTTAGTCGTTTGACTAGGTAAACAATGTGGCCGGGAAGCTCGAACTGAGTGGAGCCCACCACAGCTCAAGGAGGCCTGCCTGCCTCTGTCAGCTCCACCTCTGGGGGCAGGGCACAGACAAACAAAAAGACAGCAGTAACCTCTGCAGACTTAAATGTCCCTGTCTGACAGCTTTGAAGAGAGTAGTGGTTCTCCCAGCATGCAGCTTGAGATCTGAGAACAGGAAGACTACCTCAAGTGGGTCCCTGATCCCCAAGTAGCCTAACTGGGAGGCATCCCCCAGTAGGGGCTGACTGACACCTCACATGGCCAGGTACTCCTCTGAGACAAAACTTCCAGAGGAACGATCAGGCAGCAGCATTTGCAGTTCACCAATATACACTGTTCTGCAGCCACCGCTGCTGATACCCAGGCAAACAGGGCCTGGAGTGGACCTCTAGCGAGCTCCAACAGACCTGCAGCTGAGGGTCCTGTCTGTTAGAAGGAAAACTAACAAACAGAAAGGACATCCACACCAAAAACCCATCTGTACATCACCATCATCAAAGACCAAAGGTAGATAAAACCACAAAAATGGGAAAAAAAAACAAAGCAGAAAAACTGGAAACTCTAAAAATCAGAGCGCCTCTCCTCCTCCAAAGGAACGCAGCTCCTCACCAGCAATGGAACAAAGCTGGATGGAGAATGACTTTGATGAGTTGAGAGAAGAAGTCTTCAGATGATCAAACTACTCTGAGCTACAAAAGGAAATTCGAACCAATGGCAAAGAAGTTAAAATCTTTGAAAAAAATTAGACGAATGGATAACTAGAATAACCAATGCAGAGAAGTCCTTAAAGGACGTGATGGAGCTGAAAACCAAGGCATGAGAGCTACGTGATGAATGCAGAAGCCTCAGTAGCCAATGCGATCAACTGGAAGAAAGGGTATCAGTGATGGAAGACGAAATGAATGAAATGAAGCGGGAAGAGAAGTTTAGAGAAAAAAGAATAAAAAGAAATGATAAAAACCTCCAATAAATATAGGACTATGTGAAAAGACCAAATCTGTGTCTGATAAGTGTACCTGAAAGTGACGGGGAGAATGGAAGCAAGTTGGGAAACACTCTGCAGGATATTATCCAGGAGAACTTCCCCAATCTAGCAAGGTAGGCCAACATTCAAATTCAGGAGATACAGAGAACGCAACAAAGATACTCCTCAAGAAGAGCAACTCCAAGACACATAATTGTCAGATTCACCAAAGTTGAAATGAAGGAAAAAATGTTAAGGGAAGCCAGAGAGAAAGGTCGGGTTACCCATAAAGGGAAGCCCATGAGACTAACAGCTGATATCTCGGCAGAAACTCTACAAGCCAGAAGAGAGTGGGGACCAATATTCAACATTCTTAAAGGAAAGAATTTTCAACCCCGAATTTCATATCCTGCCAAACTAAGCTTCATAAGTGAAGGAGAAATAAAATACTTTACAGACAAGCAAATGCTGAGAGATTTTGTCACGACCAGGCCTGCCCTAAAAGAGCTCCTGAAGGAAGCTCTAAACATGGAAAGGAACAACCGGTACCAGCCACTGCAAAAACATGCCAAATTGTAAAGACCATCAAGGCTAGGAAGAAACCTCATCAACTAATGAGCAAAATAACCAGCTAACATCATAAACACAGGATCAAATTCACACATAACAATATTAACTTTAAACGTAAATGGGCTAAATGTTCCAATTAAAAGACACAACTGGCAAATTGGACAGAGTCAAGACCCATCAGTGCTCTGTATTCAGGAAACCCATCTCACGTGTAGAGACACACATAGGCTCAAAATAAAGGGATGGAGGAAGATCTACCAAGCAAATGGAAAACAAAAAAAGGCAGGGGTTGCAATCCTAGTCTCTGATAAAACAGACTTTAAACCAACAAAGATCAAAAAAGACAAAGAAGGCCATCACATAATGGTAAAGGGATCAATTCAACAAGAAGAGCTAACTATGCTAAATATATATGCACCCAATACAGGAGCACCCAGATTCATAAACCAAGTCCTTAGTGACATAGAAAGAGACTTAGACTCCCACAAAATAATAATGGGAGACTTTAACACCCCACTGTCAACATTAGACAGATCAACGAGACAGAAAGTTAACAAGGATACCCAGGAATTGAACTCAGCTCTGCACCAAGCGGACCTAACAGACATCTACAGAACTCTCCACCCAAAATCAACAGAATATACATTGTTTTCAGCACCACACCACACCTACTCCAAAATTGACCACATAGTTGGAAGTAAAGCACTCCTCAGCAAATGGAAAAGAACAGAAATTATAACAAACTGTCTCTCAGACCCCAGAGCAATCAAACTAGAACTCAGGATTAAGAAACTCACTCAAAACCGCTCATCTATATGGAAACTGAACAACGTGCTCCTGAATGACTACTGGGTACATAATGAAATGAAGGCAGAAATAAAGATATTCTTTGAAACCAATGAGAACAAAGATACATCATGCCAGAATCTCTGGGACACATTCAAAGCAGTGTGTAGAGGGAAATTTATAGCACTAAATGCCCACAGGAGAAAGCAGGAAAGATCTAAAATTGATACCCTAACATCACAATTAAAAGAACTAGAAAAGCAAGAGCGAACACATTCAAAAGCCAGCAGAAGGCAAGAAATAACTAAGATCAGAGCAGAAATGAAGGAAATAGAGACACAAAAAAACCCTTCAAAAAATTAATGAATCCAGGAGCTGGTTTTTTGAAAAGATCAACAAAATTGATAGGCTGCTAGCAAGACTAATAAAGAAGAAAAGAGAGAAGAAACAAATAGACACAATAAAAAATGATAAAGGGGATATCACCACTGATCCCACAGAAATACAAACTACCATCAGAGAATACTACAAACACCTCTACGCAAATAAACTAGAAAATCTAGAAGAAATGGATACATTCCTCAACACATATATGCTCCCAAGACTAAACCAGGAAAAAAGTTGAATCTCTGAATAGACCAATAACAGGCTCTGAAATTGAGGCAATAATCAATAGCTTACCAACCAAAAAAAAGTCCAGGACCAGATGGATTCACAGCTGAATTCTACCAGAGGTACAAAGAGGAGCTGGTACCATTCCTTCTGAAACCATTCCAATCAAACAGAAAAAGAGGGAATCCTCCCTAACTCATTTTATGAGGGCAGCATCATCCTGATACCAAAGCCTGGCAGAGACACAACAAAAAAAGAGAATTTTATACCAATATCCTTGAGGAACATCAACGCAAAAATCCCCAATAAAATACTGGCAAACCGAATCCAGCAGCACATTAAAAAGCTTATCCACCATGATCGAGTGGGCTTCATCCCTGGGATGCAAGGCTGGTTCAACATATGCAAATCAATAAATGTAATTCACCATATAAACAGAACCAAAGACAAAAACCACATGATTATCTCAATAGATGCAGAAAAGGCCTTTGACAAAATTCAACAGCCCTTCATGCTAAAAACTCTCAATAAATTAGGTATTGGGACGTATCTCAAAATAATAAGAGCTATCTATGACAAACCCACATCCAATATCATACTGAATGGGCAAAAACTGGAAGTACTCCCTTTGAAAACGGGCACAAGACAGGGATGCCCTCTCTCACCACTCATATTCAACATAGTGTTGGAAGTTCTGGCCAGGGAAATCAGGCAGGAGAAGGAAATAAAGGGTATTCAATTAGGAAAAGAGGAAGTCAAGTTGTCCCTGTTTGCAGATGACATGATTGTATATCAGGAAAACCCCATCATTTAAGCACAAAATCTCCTCAGGCTGATAAGCAACTTCAGCAAAGTCTCAGGATACAAAATCAATGTGCAAAAATCACAAGCATTCTTATACACAAATAACAGACAAACAGAGAGCCAAATCATGAGTGAACTCCCATTCACAATTGCTTCAAAGAGAATAAAACACCTAGGAATCCAACTTACAAGGGACGTGAAGGACTTCTTCAAGGAGAACTACAAACCACTGCTCAATGAAATAAAAGAGGATACAAACAAATGGAAGAACATTCCATGCTCATGGGTAGGAAGAATCAATATCATGAAAATGGCCATACTGCCCAAGGTAATTCATAGATTTAATGCCATCCCCATCAAGCTACCAATGACTTTCTTCACAGAATTGGAAAAAACTACTTTAAAGTTCATATGGAACCAAAAAAGAGACCGCATCGCCAAGTCAATCCTAAGCCAACAGAACAAAGCTGGAGGCATAACACTACCTGACTTCAAACTATACTACAAGGCCCCAGTAACCAAAACAGCATGGTACTGGTACCAAATCAGAGATATAGACCAATGGAACAGAACAGAGCCCTCAAAAATAATGCCACATATCTACAACTATCTGATCTTTGACAAACCTGACAAAAACAAGCAATGGGGAAAGGATTCCCTATTTAATAAATGGTGCTGGGAAAACTGGCTAGCCATATGTAGAAAGCTGAAACTGGATCCCTTCCTTACACCTTATACAAAAATTAATTCAAGATGGATTAAAGACTTAAATGTTAGACTTAAAACCATAAAAACCCTAGAAGAAAATCTAGGCAATACCATTCAGGACATAGGCATGGGCAAGGGCTTCATGTCTAAAACACCAAAAGCAATGGCAACAAAAGCCAAAATTGACAAATGGGATCTAATTAAACTAAAGAGCTTCTGCACGGCAAAAGAAACTACCATCAGAGTGAACGGGCAACCTACAGAATGGGAGAAAATTTTTGCAACCGACTCATCTGACAAAGGGCTAATATCCAGAATCTACAATGAACTCAAACAAATTTACAAGAAAAAAACAAACAACCCCATCAAAAAGTGGGCGAAGGACATGAACAGACACTTCTCAAAAGAAGACATTTATGCAGCCAAAAAACACATGAAAAAATGCTCATCATCACTGGCCATCAGATAAATGCAAATCAAAACCACAATGAGATACCATCTCATACCAGTTAGAATGGAGATCATTAAAAAGTCAGGAAACAACAGGTGCTGGAGAGGATGTGGAGAAATAGGAACACTTTTACACTGTTGGTGGGACTGTAAACTAGTTCAACCATTGTGGAAGTCAGTGTGGCGATTCCTCAGGGATCTAGAACTAGAAACACCATTTGACGCAGCCACCCCATTACTGGGTATATACCCAAAGGATTATAAATCATGCTGCTATGAAGACACATGCACACGTATGTTTATTGCGGCACTATTCACAATAGCAAAGACTTGGAACCAACCTAAATGTCCAACAATGATAGACTGGATTAAGAAAATGTGGCACATATACACCATGGAATACTATGCAGCCATAAAAAATGACGAGTTCATGTCCTTTGTAGGGACATGGATGAAACTGGAAACCATCATTCTCAGCAAACTATCACAAGGACAAAAAACCAAACACCACTTATTCTCACTCATAGGTGGGAATTGGACAATGAGAACACATGGACACAGGAAGGGGAACATCACACACTGGGGACTGTTGTGGGGTGGGGGGAGTGGGGAGGGATAGCATGAGAAGATATACCTAATGCTAAATGACGAGTTAATGGGTGCAGCACACCAACATGGCACATGTATACATATGTAACAAACCTGCGCGTTGTGCACATGTACCCTAAAACTTAAAGTATAATAATAATAAGATTTAAAAAAAAAATTAGCCGGGCATGGTGGCGTGCATCTGTGGTCCCAGTTGCTCAGGAGGCTGAGGCAGGAGAATCACTTGAACCCAGGAGGCAGAGATTACAGTGAGCCGAGATTGCACCACTACACTCCAGCCTGGGTGACAGAACGAGATTCTATCTCAAAAAAAAAAAAAAAAGAAAGAAAGAAAGAGCAGAAAGAAATATCAAAACTAACTGCCTACTGGTGAGTACTTTACATATATTGTTTCTTTAATCCTCACAGGAACTATTAAACCCATTTTATAAATGAGGAATCTGAGTTCCTGAAAGGTTAATCTTTGCCACCTAAAACTCAGGAAAACATAACTCTGAATGGACTTGCTGACATATTAAGGAAAAGGCAGATATTAAAGAACAATTTAAAGCAGTATTTTCCAAAATACCATGCTTTCAGGATACCAGTGAGTGCTGCGCACATACACATGAAGAGGTGTCTTCAAATGAGTTGAGAACTTCACTGGATTTACTAGTCTTTTTGAAATTTATCAGGCTTTATTGACTTTAAACTTAAATCAGAAACATTTTTCAATGCAATGAAAACTCTTCAAAAATATATCTCTAATAACTACATAACATCACATCCCATTTATCGAATATAATTTATTTAGCCTTTGGCTTCTTTAGTGATATTTTTCCCCAGTTGTGCTTTAAATGCTAATGTACACTGTGGCTCTCCAAGAATGAAGCTGGTATGTAGTGTTAGCTATGTAGTATTTCAAAACTTATACAGAGCATCTCCAAGGTTCAGCATTACATAGTTTTCACTTTGGAAATGCCCATACTGAGTTGCCAAGAAATTGTGCTCGTTAAAAAATATACACAGAAAAACCTTCATATATAAGCTTTGAATAAAAAGTATTTTTTAAATACTAACATGTTAATTCCTTAAATTTTTATTAATTTTTAAGCTTTGACTTTTAACAACTGTAATTATAATCAAGAAGTTTACAAATATTTCATCTGTCTGTCTCTCTTTCTGGACAAATAGAAGGATTGTATACCCTTGTTCACCTGAGCTAGATATAGCTGTTTGATTTACTTTGATCAATGACATGGAGACGTTAGTATTGTGGGTCACTGAAGGCAGAAGCTTTCAAGGTCTGTATAGGCTTTGCCATGTTCTTTTTCCCTCTGTCATGATGACTGGCCTTGCCACAGAGCAGGGCTCCTCTGTTGATTCAGTATTCTGAATTGAAAAAACACAAAGCAGAGCCCCTAGGTAGCATTCAATGGACAAATGTGAGAAAATTAAATAAAAAATAAAGGTTATTTGTTCTGAGTCATGGAAATTTAGTCTATCTTGACCAATATAATAACTTAGGTAATATGGCATAGTACAAAAAAATATCGCAAAAAGAATGAGAAAAAAGTGTCAACTTCTAATAGTTGTTATTTACCAACTTGGCAAATAGCTATGAAATTCACTTAACCTCTTCAAAGTCTCTGTTTGGCAAAATAATAAGTGCCTTCCTGGCAGAATCATTCTGAATATCGAAAGAGAACAGCCATGGGTGTGTTTTTGAAGCTATAAAACACATTACACATGTGTATTAGTCGTTCCCATGCTGCTAATAAAGGCATAACTGAGACTGGGTAATTTATAAAGGAAAAGGGTTTAATGGACTCACAGTTCCACATAGCTGGGGAGGCCTCAAAATCATGGTGGAAGGTGAAGGAGGAGCAAAGTCACATCTTACATGGCAGCAGGCAAGAGAACGTGTACAGAGGAACTGCCCCTTTGTAAAACCATCACATCTTGTGAGATTTATTCAATATCATGAGAAAAGCACAAGAAAAACCAGCCCCCATGATTCAATTACCTCCCATGGGGTCCCTGCCATGACATGTGGTGATTATAGGAGCTACAATTCAAGATGAGATTTGGGTGGACAATAGCCAAACCATATCAACATGGAAGGTCTTATTTTTTTTTTAAGTTTTGGATGTGATTTTCAAAGCTACAAACATTAATTAAGGTCATATTGTACATACATTTTTGTGGCTTCTATCAATTTTAATACCAGTAGCCACAGGACATAATTTAAACTCTTGCTTCATTTACCTTACCTATATTCTGTTTGTCTCAAAGCTTAATGAGAACCAATTATATTATTTAGTCATCTTTAATTATAACATACATAAATGCCATTTATACTTATTTAACCTTATCTAGCTACTTAGTATGAAATTAGAAAAGCACAAAATGATTATTTAAAAAATGAGTATGTTCCAAATACAGCTTTATCTTTATTCTAAGTTGAGATTACTTTCTTAATTCCCACTACACTCTGATTATAATTTAACTTTTTCTAATAGCTGCATTCACTATGTCAGAAAACATTACTGATCTAGGTTAGAGAGAAGATTGGTAGGATGTAGGAAATGCACAGCTCTGACCCTTTAGGATAGCCCTAAGGTTTTCTAGTCAGCAACTTCCTGAAGTAGGAGAAACAGAAACTAATGATGAAGACACGTATTTTAATGACGAGCACTTTACCATTTATGCCCTCTTCATCACCTCTCTAGTGTGGGCCTTCTGTATCACTTGCCTGGACCACTGTAATGTGTCCTAATGGGGCCCCCTAACTTCAGCCACTGCCCTCCCAAGCCTACCCACACAAGGTTGTTCCAGCTACCTTTATGTTTCATTAAATTATACAGATAACCATAATAACCTATTCCTTGAAATAATTTAATGGCTCTAAAGCCTTTAAATGCAAAGGGACTAGAATCTGCCTCCTCAGCCTAGCACTTCAAGCCCAGCACAGTCTGAGTAAATAGTTCTAAAAATTATTCAACTCCTATCTTACTTTTCTCTCTTATTTCTTCTGATGCACACTTGATATTTCCAGCACAATAGAATAATTTCTAGTCATCAAACCTACCTTGGCTCTGCAGCCTAACACCTTTTATGCCTGCTCTCCCTTCCTCTTGAATTACCCAAACTATCATTCCCACATCTGTCTAGCCATTCCAAGTGGAGCTCTGTATTCTCCAAATTTATAAAAATTTCCCACGTCTTCTTTGAGTTCTACAGACCTCAAGAATGACTGTTTTATTTCTCTCTAGCACAATGAAGAGCAACACAGATTTCAGATTAAACAATTATAGTAGATATTCACTGCATATGGGAATTTGTGAACTGAAAGTATTATTAACCACAGATTATTCCTCTTCAAAACATTTTGTAAAATGGATATTATAATTTATATTTTACACAAAGGAAAGTTGAGATTTCAGTAAAGCTGAAAAACCTTTTCCGGAAATACACAGAAGTTTATTTTCTAAATAATAATTGCCATAATTTTTGTGACATTTATAAACAAGGGTAAATGAATAAGTGTTCACAAATGCACCATATGATGAAAATCTAAATTAAGCCTAGTTCATGTGAAGAAAATACAAAAGGATGAAGTTTTTGTTAACTGTACATTTAACATCATTAAGAGTTGAGACATGATCACCAACAAACATAAAACCATGAACTGTGGTACAGAGGCACCGTGTACAGGAAAAAATAGTCCCAGATTCTCTGTACTGGCTAATCTACATCTGTAAGAGGCATGTGTTCATCATTTTGATTTCAACCTCACTAAAATATACTTTCTAATGATGGTGACAAAGAAGATGAAGGATCTGAAAATCAAGCATTACGGAGGAATTATTAAAGGAATTTCGGATTTTGGCCTAGGGTGGAGGTGGAAGAGGACTTATAGAAGTCCTCTAGCTATGATAGAAAACAGAACCAATAAATGAAGCGAAGGGATGATAGCTTTAACAATGCAAATACAAAAAGTCATTCAATTACAGCTCACTGAAATGGGAAAAGGCAAGCCTTCCCTTGGCTCCAGAGATTCTACTCTTCCCTCGCTTCCTCCCATAGTTTGAGGTGACGTTACATAAGAGCTTACCCTAAACTGAAAGTCTCATGCTGCTTCCTTCCAGGGGAAAGTCTTGCTGCATACAAAATATCAGCCAAACTAAATTATATTCTTAATGACCCAGTACATTTACATTTTGGCAAAAGCACTTTATCTGACAGAGGGCTGTAACAAATAGGAGCCAATCTGCTGACCACACATTTTTCTTATTTCAAGGCTCTGTGTTTCTTCCTTTGTCTCTCCCACAAGCTCTGGTACACAGTCTTCAAAGTCCTTTCGCCTTCTAAGTAAAGTGATTATATACATCCAGGATATTATGGACAATCGTAATTTAAAATATTCTGTACTTCTTTCCACAGAGTATAATGATAAGGTATCAGAACAGACACACTGATATTTCTTTCCTCAAAAATAAGGCCAGGCACAGTGGCTCATGCCTGTAATCCCAGCACTTTGAGAGGCCGAGGTGGGTGGATCACCTGAGGTCAGGAGTTTGAGACCAGCCTTGCCAACATGGTGAAACCACATCTCTACTAAAAATACAAAAATTAGCTGGGCGTGGTGGCGGGCGCCTGTAATCCCAGCTACTCAGGAGGCTGAAGCAGGAGAATCACTTGAATCTGGGAGGCAGAGGTTGCAGTGAGCCAAGATTGCACCACTGCACTCCAGACTGGGTGACAGGGTGGGACTCTGTCTCAAGGCAATAAATAAATAAAAATAAGATATAAATGAGCTATCCTTTTGACGTCCCACTAAAACATAATAGAAAAGCACACACAAACACACACATACAGACACTATATTTTTCATACAACTAAAAATGCCCTCCCACTAATATTCCTCTGATTTCTTCTCAGAACTTGAATAAAGGCTCTACATTCTATTATCATGAACAAGATGTCAATTTTAGAAAAACAGTGCTTCCTTGGATCTAAACTTATGCACAAACTTAACAACAACAACAAAAGACAAAGTGTTTATTCAAGGCCTGGAACATGCACTTCTAGAGAAAGAAACAGACCCATAATCTTGTGTATATTTCTTTTAAATTTCATTTGATAGAGGCCCTAAAATTTGATAGGTATATCAGTCTGATCAAACTTGCTAGTTCAGAATACTAAATAGAGTCAATTATGTAAGTTGCCTGCTAATGAAATGTAACCTTTGAACATGTCTGAAGAAAGAAGACATCTGGCCAATGATAGTTTCATCTCATATTCATCTCTGATATCTGGCTCCCAAGTACTTCCAGCTATTGAGAAGCACTGGAGGGCTATTTGAAGGTGAGAGAGGAGTGGACAATATATTTCTTCCATTCTCTTTACCTCCTGTGGTATCATTCTGCAGTGGCTATATCTCTTCCATGGCTCCTTAATAAACAGATTCCGTCTGTAACAGCTCTCAACAGCCAAACCCAACACAGCTTCTGGCTCTCACAGGATAGCCCTTGCTCCCAGATTATGGAAGCAAGTGTTCTCCCAACCCTAGAAGTGGTAGCAGCTTCCTGCTAGTGCTAATCTCTGAGAGACTTCAGTATCCTATTTCAGTGCTCTATTCTATGATCATGTATGTAATCAATTCCCTGTTTTAAATCTCCTTCTATTAAAATACACAGAATACCTCTAATACCCTGGCTGGACCCTGACTGATACAGATTGTCAACAACAACAACAAATAGCCTTGAAAAATAAAAATAAAAAAGGATCAGCACAGGAGAAATCAACACTGGGGTGATCATGTGATCATTTAGGCCAATTTTCAGGGATGTCACCTCTCTTGTTCTAATGGCAGCTTTATCTGTGAGGAAATGGGTGAGGCAGGCATTTATGCTTTCCCTGTCTGGACCCAATAATGCTTTTCAAGCCATCTTCCAATTGTAATTTTGAAGCTCCTGTAGCTTTGTCTACAAAAAGATAGTGGACTAACTAGAGAATATGAGTGCCCTGTTCTGGTAGTACTTTATTTTTATTTAAATTTTAAAAATTCCTTCTAGATTCAATGATCAGATACTGAAAAACTAATAAATGTGAGACTGCCTCTGAGACTTTGATCCTCCTCTTCATTTGTGGGAACATCAGAATTCTTAACCCAAAGCCCGACATGTAGAGAATTCTCCCCAACAAAAAATGTCACCATGTGTCTAACTGACCAGCCAGCCTTTCCCAGATCTCAACTAGCTGCCAGAATGCAACCTTTTCCTTAACTAGAAGTTCTATAAGTAAAATTTGCCCTATTTTATTCACAGGGTAGTTTTGAAAATGAAATTTGGTTTTACATATAAAAACACTTTCTGAGTTATCAAAGCAGTAATAGAAAATATCATAAACGAGTACATTAACCATTGACTTTTTCTTCATTAATTTAAAACTCTTAGCTTGGTAAATAAGAAGGAATGTCTGAAAGATGTGAATATTCTATGAAGAGTAGACATTAGCTCATTGACCTAATTAAATTCCACTCCAACGTCACTTGACTTGTTAAGTGAGAACACTAATTTTTACATTAAGCTGTCTACCAGGAAGCATACATATTAAAGTTCAAATTGGGGTCCTAGGGAATACAGATAACTTAGCACAGGACTGGAGCATATGAAATATATTATTAAGGTTCCTTGGAGAATAAAGAGTTTCCTAGAACAAAAGAAACAAACTGAATAGAAAGAATATATAAATCCATATTAATTAATTGCTAAATTACAAATATTTATTAATTATTATGGTTCAAGAATTCGGTGAGGCAACTGGAAATAGAAGCATAATAAACATGATATTTACCTTCAAGGAACTCAGTATAAGAGAAAAAACAAATGTATACACAATTGATAATCTGGCAGTATAAGAAAGGCAATAATAGGAATACATACAAGATTTAGAAGAAGGATAGAAAATGGATGATTCATTCTAATTTGGGGATTCAGGGAAGATCTTCAGAGGAGATAGGATAGAAAATGGATGATTCATTCTAATTTGGAAATTCAGGGAAGATCTTCAGAGGAGATAACGCCAAGTCATGAGTTTCATCAACTGATTGGCTTTCTCTGGTGACTAAGTAATGGAGGAGAAAAGTGGAATTCCAGGTAGAGAAAACAGGTATGCAAAGGAATAAAAGTAGGAATTCATACAAGACCTTCATGAAATCATAAATAAATTCAAAATGTGATGAGAAAAGGGGGAAAATAAGCAAGATATACGACTGGAGAAGTTGTGAGGGTAAGAAGTATGGGTGGCCTACTATACCAAGCTGGCAAACTTTGCCCTTTACATTTAGACAATCAGATGCCACAAGAAGGTTTTAAACAGTTGTGTTATTCAGGGTTCTCTAGAGAGACATAACTAATAAGATATATATATATGTGTGTGTGTGTGTGTGTGTGTGTGTGTGTGTGAGTTTATTAAGTAGTATTAACTCACACGATCACAAGGTCCCACAATATGTCATCTGCAAGCTGAGGAGCAAGGAAGCCAGTTCAAGTCCCAAAGCTGAAGAACTTGGAGTCCAATGTTTGAGGGCAGGAAGCATCCAGCATGGGATAAAGATGTAGACTGGGAGGCTAAGCCAGTCTAGCCTTTTCACACTTTTCTTTCTGCTTTTTATTCTGGCCATGCTGGCAGCTGATTACATGGTGCCTACCCAGATTAAGGGTGGGTCTGCCTTCCCCAGCCCACTGACTGAAATGTTAATCTCATTCGGCAACACCCTCACAGACACACCCAGGATCAATACATTGCATCCTTCAATCAAGTTGACACTCAGTATTAACCATCACAAGTTCACCCCTTGTCAACTTGAATCCATACACATCTGCTGAGATCATACACAATCTTTAAATAAAGACAATAATAAGGTCATAATTGTGCCTAACATAATACAACTATCCTTCATACAACCGGAATTGCACCAATCCCCAACCCAAATGCTATTACATAAAGTTAACAATACTTAAATGCTGACATGAAGTCAATAAATCTTCTGTCACATGATAAAGGAAAAAGGAAACAAAATTAAGATATTTTCTTAGGCCGGGCGCGGTGGCTCACGCCTGTAATCCCAGCACTTTGGGAGGCCGAGGCGGGCGGATCACGAGGTCAGGAGATCGAGACCATCCTGGCTAACACGGTGAAACCCCGTCTCTACTAAAAATACAAAAAATTAGCCGGGCGTGGTGGTGGGCGCCTGTAATCCCAGCTACTCGGGAGGCTGAGGCAGGAGAATGGCATGAACCCAAGAGGCGGAGCTTGCAGTGAGCCGGGATAGCGCCACTGCAGTCCAGCTTGGGCGAAAGAGTGAGACTCCGTCTCAAAAAAAAAAAAAAAAAAAAAAAAAAAAAAGATATTTTCTTAGTACAAGTGTATACATGCACAAACCTGTTTTAATAGAAGAAGGAGGAAATACTCATGACAATTACAGTCCTCGTTTCTGTAACTGGTCATATGGTCACAGCTGGTATTGATGACTACCTTCTTCTACTACCCATTCTGTATTCCCTTTGCCTTCAACAAGCTCCTTAGCAGGTCGTGGTTTTTTTCCTGATGGAGTGACCTAAACCTCCATTCCTGAAGGGTCTGGGCCATTTGTAGTCCTTCCTGGACTGGGCTGTTGTAGTTTCCCATTCGCCTTAATCAGAGTGCATGGTAATAATAAGAGACACCCTATTGTACCTCCTGTATTCCATGTATACTCTTCCTTACCTCTGTTATGGAGTAATAGACTGATTTCATCTTGATAGTCTGGGTCAATCACCCCATCCAACACTGTAACTCCCTTCTTAGTCTTTTGTCTTAAATGTAGGAGGAGCCCAAAGTGTCCAGGTGGCAATCTTAACTTCCAGTTTAATGGATTCGTTGTTGTGTCTCCTGGTGGCAGTGTTCCTCCCTCTGGAACTAATACCTCTAGGCCAGCAGAATGCAATGTTGCAGGAACAGGTAGCAAAAATTTTCTTAGTGGATTAGTAGGGTTGATGGTGAGTGGTGCCACTTCCACTTCCTCCCCTTGATTCCTGGACCCATGAATCATGGCTATGCGAGAAACAGTACCATATATTGGATGCTGATTCAGAGCATACATGGCCTTTTAGAGAACTTTGCCCCAGCCCTGCAAAGCGTTGTCACCTATTTGGCATTGTAATTGTGACTTCAAAAGGCCATTCCACCATTCTATCAATCCAGCTGCTTCCAGATGATGGGAAACATGGTTAAGACCAGTGAATTTCATAAGCGTGAGCCCACTGCCAAATTCTTTAGCCATAAAGTGAGTGCCTTGTTCAAAAGCAATGCTGTGTGGAATACCATGACGGTGAATAACGCTTTCCATAAGTCCATAGATGGTAGTCTTGGCATATGCATTGCATGCAGGATAGATAAACCCATATCCAGAGTAAGTGTCTATTCCAGTGAGAACAAACCTTGGCCCTTTCCATGATGGAATAGGTCCAGTATAATTAACCTGCCACCAGGTAGCTGGATGATCACCCCAAGGAATGGTGCCATATGAAGGTCTCAGTGTTGGTCTCTGCTGCTGGCAAACTGGACACTCAGCAGTGGCTGTAGCCAGTTCATCTTTGATGAGTGCAAGTCCATGTTGCTGAGCCCATGTGTAACCTCCATCCCTACCATCATGGCCACTTTGTTCATGAGCCCATTAGGCGATGACAAGGGTGGCTAGGGAAAGAGGCTGAGTTGTGTTTACAGAATGGGTCATGCTCTCTGCTCGATTATTAGAATCCTCCTCTGCTGAGGTCACCCATTTGTGAGCACTCACAGGGGATACAAATATCTTCACAGTTTTTGACCACTCAGAGAGGTCCATCTGCATATGTTTTCCCCAAATTTGTCACCAATTTTCCAATCATGCTTCTTCCAAGTCCCTGACCATCCAGCCAAACCATTGAATACAGCCATGAATCAGTACATAATTACATAATGGCCATTTTTCCTTCTGTACAAAGTGCACAACCAGGTGGACTGCTCAAAGTTCTGCCCACTGGGAAGATTTCCCTTCACTGCTGTCCTTCAGGGATATCCTAAAGAGAGGCTGTAGTGTTACAGTTACCCACTTTTGGGAGGTGCCTGCATATCATGCAGAACCATCTGTAAACCAGGCTCTAGTCTTCTCTTCCTCTGTCAACTGATTCTAGAGAACTCCCCATGAGGCCGTCAGTGCAGGCTGGGGGAGACAAGGAAGGGTAGGAAGAGTGGTGTAACTTACTTGTGCCTTCAGGACCTGCTTGAGCCCGATCATGTTTATACCACTTCCATTTGATGATGGAATGCTGCTGTGCATATCCCACTTTATGGCTAGATGGATCAGAAAGCACCCAGTTCATAATAGGCAATTCAGGTTGCATTGTGACTTGATGACCCATAGTCAAATGTTCAGTTTCCACCAAATCCCATTACCAGGTGAAGAGCTATCTCTCAAAAGGAGAGTAGTTATCTGCAGAAGATGCCAGGGTCTTGCTCCAAAATCCTAGTGGCCTCCACTGTGATTGATCTATGGGAGTCTTCCAAAAGCTCCCAACAGCATCCCTATCTGCCACTGACATCTCAAGAACATTGGATCTGCTGGGTCATATGGCCCAAGTGGCAGATCAGCTTGCACAGCAGCCTGGACCTGTTGCAGAGACCTTCTGTTCTGGACCCCACTCAAAACCGGCAGCCTTTTGGGTCACTGAATAAATGGGCTGGAGTAACATACCTAAATGAAGAATGTATCGTCTCCAAAATCCAAATAGGCCCACTAGGTGTTGTGCCTCTTTCTTGGTTGTAGGAAGAGCCAAATGCAGCAAGTTATTCTTCACCTTAGAAGGAATATCGAGACAGACTCCACACCACTGGGCCCCTAGAAATTTTACTGAAGTAGAAGTTCCCTTAATTTTAGTCAGATTTGTCTCCCATCCTCTGACACACAAATGTCTCACCAATAAGTCCAGTGTGTTTGCTATTTCTTGCTCGCTGGATCCAATCAGCATAATGTCTTCAATGTAATGGACCACTGTGATATCTTGTGGAAGCAGAAAGCGATCAAGTTCTCTCCAAATAAGATTATGACACAAAGCCTGAGAGTTGATATACCCCTGAGGTAGGAGAGTAAAGGTATATTGCTGGCTTTGCCAGCTGAAGGCAAATTTCTTCTGATGGGCCTTATGGACAACAATGGAGAAAAAGGCATTTACCAAGTCAATGGCTGCATACCAGGTACCAGGAGATGTGTTAATTTGCTCAAGCAATGAAACCACATCTGGTACGGCAGCTGCAATTGGAGTCACCAATTGGTTAAGCTTGTTTAAGCTTGGTTAAGCTTATGATGATCCACTGCCATTCTTCAAATCTATCTGTCTTCTGCACAGGCCAAATAGGAGAGTTGAATGGGGATTTGGTGGGAATCACCACACTTGTGTCTTTCAAGTCCTTGATGGTGGCACTAATCTCTGCAATCCTTCCAGGGATGCAATATTGTTTTTGATTTACTATTTTTGTAGGTAGAGGCAGCTTTAATGGCTTCCATTTGTCCTTTCCCACCCTGATAGTGGTGGGGTGGGCTTCCCTACCAGTCAGGAAGCCAATGTGAGGGTTCTGCCAGCTGCTAACTATGTCTATGCCAATTATGTATTCTGACACTGGGGAAATGACCACAGGATAAGCCCAGGGACCCAGTAGACCCACTGTAAGGCCTACCTGAGCTAAAGCTTCATTAATTACCTGACCTCCATAAGCCTCTAGTTTAACTGGAGAACAACAATGATGTTTTGGGTCCCCTGGAATCAATGTCAGCTCTCTGAGCCAGTGTCCAGTAGCCCCTGAAATGTCTGATCATTTCCATTTCCCTAATGTATTTACCCTAGTAAAAGGCCAGCAGTCTCCTTGGGGAAGTATGGGAGAAAGATTAACAGCATAAATTGTTGATAGTGTAGTGGGGTCCTTCCTCAAGGAGACCAAGCCTCCCCTTCATTCAAGGGGTTCTGGGTCTAGAAACTGGCTGAAGTCTAGAAATTGATTGAGAGGCCATGATTCTGTTTTTATAATTCAAATTCATCTTTTGTCCATTCAACCTGGGAGTTTTCTGCTTATATAAATTAAGTAGGAATGCAGTAGGCTTCCTATCAATTTCACCTCTAGGAACACTGTGATTAATTAGCCAATGCCAGAGCTCTTCATGAGTCACACTATTCTGATTGCTACATTGCCTCGGCTGTCCATTATGGTAGCTATGCCCACCTTGCTTTTGACGCTTGAGTGCTACCACTTGGCCCCTGCCTCCTTGCAATCCAATTATTCCCATTGTATTTAAATTTTATAGTTGAGTGACTGCAGTTCCCACTGTTAGATCTGACATACAGAGAAGAGTAATTACAGGGCTCTTCAAAGGTGCAGGTGCTGCCCTCAAAAATCTATTTTGCATACCATTGGTCAAGGGTATATTTTCTGGACCCTCCCATCTAGGATGAGTAGGTCTAAAGTGACTAACCCACTCCACCATCTCAATCTCCCTAAGCCTTTGGATCCCTTCCTTTACATTAAAACAAGGAAAATCAGTCATTTCCAGCTTGGGCCATCTTTTAATCCATATTTCAGCTAACAGTGGGCCATCTTTTAATCCATATTTCAGTTAACCAAGCAAATAAACTATTAGAAGCCTTTCTAACTCCCCGAGCTGCAACATTAAATGCAAAATCCCTACTTAGTGAGCCCAAATCAATAAATTCAGCCTGGTCCAACTCTATATTCCTTCCACCATTAACCCACACCCTTAATATCCATTTGCATGCCTGCTCTTCAGATTTCTGTTTATATAAATTAGAGAACTTAAGCAGTTCTTTTCAGGTATAGGGCACCTCCTCATGAGTCATATTCTGAACCTCACCTCTGGGAGCCTGCTGGTACTTTAGTCTAGTTATAGGTCTAGAAGCAAATGGGGGTGTTGGGGATAGTTCCTGAGGAGAATCAACATTATCTTGCCTGGCAACTGCCTCAGGGGAGGACATCACTGTTGCCTCAGGCAATGCAGGGCTTTTCTCCTCAGACAAACATGGAAAGGCTGATGGCAGTGTAGGTCAGGGAGGAGATGTTGCCACTACTGGGGATGGGGAAGCTGTTTCTTCTGGCAAGAACGGCTCATCAGAGTTTACAAGCTCAATGTCCCCAGCTTCAACAGGGTCCTCCCACATGTCCCCATTCCAAGTTGCAGGGTCCCATTCTTTTCCAATCAATGCCCTCACTTTAACAGTAGACACCTGGCAAGGCTGTGCATGCACCTTTCATTGCAGATCAGCCACTTGCATGATACAAGCTTGTATCTGATTTTCCACAATTTCAGCTCTTTCTTCATGGGAGATAAGACTCTGACTCAGGGCAGTCTTAGGAGATTTGAGGCTCAGTATCTGTTTCTGAAGCTGGGAGTTAGAATCCTTGAGTTGATCATTTTCTGTCATCACTTTGTCCTGTGAACTTAGGAGCAACCAACCAAACAGCTTCATTTTGTTCCTTGGTTCTCCACATATGGTCAAAGTTATTATACATAGAGTCACCAAACTCCTTGCTTCTCACAAGTGGTGAATCAGGAGTGTCAAATGCATTTATTAACTCTCTGAACAGTTCAGGCCAAGGGCTATCAGTGTTCTCTATACTATTAGAAGTAGAATCCTTAGCATTTTGGGGTCTAATCATATTAAGCAGCCAACTCCAGAAACCCCCAAACCAATGAAAGAACTTCATCTTTAATATTCTGTTTCTCTAGAACCACTCCTGGTACCAAAATCTGTATTAGTCAGGGTTCTCTAGAGGGACAGCACTAATAGGAGATATATATATACATATATATATATATGTATATATATGTATATATATATATACATATATATGTATATATATGTATATATATACGTATATATATATATACACACACACATATATATACATATATATGTGTGTATATATATACACACATACATATGTATAAAATATATATATATCCTATATAGATAGATAGATATCGATATAGATAGCTATATAAATATATAAATATATATATATGGAGTTTATTAAGAAGTATTAATTCACACAATCACAAGGTCCCACAAGAGGCTGTCTGCAAGCTGAGGAGCAAGGAAGCCAGTTCAAGTCCCAAAGCTGAAGAACTTGGAGTCTGATGTTCAAAGGCATGAATCATAGGAGAAAGATGTAGGCTGGGAGTCTAAGCCAGTCTAGCCTTTTCACACTGTTCTGCCTGCTTTATATTCTCTGGCAGCTGATTAGATGGTGCCTACCCAGATTAAGGGTGGGTCTGCCTTCCCCAGCCCACTGACTCAAATGTTAATCCCCTTTGGCAACACCCTCACATACACACCCAGGACCAATACTTTGCATCCTTCAATCCAATCAAGTTGACACTCAATATTAAGCATCACAATAGTGGAACAGCATAATCAGATTTTTATGTTAGAAAGGTGATTTTAAATCACCATATAGAGAATGAACCACAAGTGCAATAAGAGTGACTAATGATAAGGGGCAACATAACTAGTCACATGTAATTTTTAAAATATATACCCAATGCTTTTATTCCTGCTAGGACACTTACAATCTCAGGTAACTGGGCAGTGACCACAATAGGTTAAAATGTAGAAATGTTGCCTCCTCGGCATCACCCTATAGGACTGAATCCCAAGCCCCTCCCTCTCTCTTTCATTATATCTTCCATTAAGCTTGGATCCGATTTCATTGCTCTGAAGCAAAAGGAAAGTCCTAATCTAGCTATTTGTTATTTCCAGTGGTATCAGACAGGATAAACCAAACCAGGTGCATCCAGCATTTTGGCATTAATCAGCCATGCCCATGGGGAGAACAAGAGACAGAATATGGGCAAGACTGGTGTCAGAAAAAAATGAAATAAGAAAGTTTCATATTCAATGATTAAAATGAATAGCAAGAGGTGAATGCGTGCCCCTCATAAGCAAGGAATGTTTCTGTATGCCTAGTCACACCCACGGTGTCTAGCACATAGCAGTATTTCAGTAAATGTTGAAAGGGATAAAATACTGAAAAAAGGAAGAAAGAGGGGATGAAAGAGGAAGGAAAGAAGGAAGGAGGAGAGTAAGGGAGAAGGAAAGGAAGCAAAACAAAATAAAAATTTCATTGGGGGGACTGACAATCATTTAGCAAATTATATTAAGTAAACTCACAAAGGGGCAAATTCAGAAAGCTACAAGTTCTAAAGAGCCTTCATTTTACATATAAAATCATGATTAAAATCAGATTATTTTTCTGTAATTTAAGGTTTCCATGATGAACATAGATGTTGACAGTTTAGCCCTCAAGGGAAATTCAGGGAGCCAGAAATTGCTCACTCAGCTGTGACACCACAGACAAAGATCTCAAAAGACTAGAACATTTCATGAAGGAAAAAATCACTGGATTCACAAACGCTCTGATGTGATCAACAGTATTTTCTGATACGCAGAGAGCACATGTCCAAGAGACGGACAAGATCAGCTCCCACAAGACTGAAGATATCAGCTCTGAAATCACCCAGTCACTTCACCTTGGCTTGCCTTGACTGCTAGTTAGCAATCCACAACAGATATATCATTAAAGTTGATAGAAGCATAATTTGTACTTGTATATACTAAGGAAAATATTAAACTGAACCACTTCCTCTTCACTTCATGTTGCTATATCAGCAGCAGAATCCTTTTCAGTTGCCTGAAATTTGAAACGGTGATTTTAGTTTTGTTTGTATTTCTGGAGAGTTTGCCGCCTTTGTGAAGAAAGTTAAAAGCATTTGAGTAAATGTACTGAAATTGTATTGTCATTTAAAATTCAATACATAGGGCGATCAGAGTTGTACAATATATGTCAATTTGACAGGAGCTAAATTTGCAGTTCTCTAGCCAGCCAGCATGGCTCTTTCACAAGTCTACAAGCCCATTGTATCAAGCCCATTAACCTTTTAGCTAGTTTTAAAACCTTCTGCAAAAAAAAAAACAAAAAACAAAACAAAAAAAAAACTCATTTATAAAATTGAATAGGCTAGGTACTGAAAGCCCTGGTCTTGTATTGTCTGGAACTTATTCTAGGGGAGGATGGTTTTATATACAGTCCTTTCTAAAAATAAATTTGGAGCAGTCAATTCTTGCTTTTCTTTTTAATGTTTCAATCTCCTTTAAAATGGGAAGCAATTTACTATAGTGTTAAGAGCATAAACTTTATAGTTAGAGAACCTAGGTTTGATTCTCAAATTTGCCACTCACTAAGCTAAAAGATGTTGGTCGAGTTGCTAAGCATATCTGTACCTTTCTTCTCTCATTAGTAAAATAGAAATAGCAATACTACCTATATAACATAAAAAGCATCATTGGGAACATTAAGTGCATTAGCCCATGGAAATTTCTTATAACATATCCTGGCAGACAGTAAGCACTCAAGAAACATCAAGTATAATGATTGTATTTAACACTAGTAATAATATTCAATACCATTTTTGCCAATCATTAGGTGCTAATGTCCCCAGCTTCCTATACACTAAGTCGTCTATTTGTTTCCACATTTTCTTGACTCTCCCTCAGTTCCATACTAATTTACTTGTGATTTCCAAAACTTTTTAGGACAATCAGTTTAAGTCTTATTTGACAATAGCCTGCAATAAGAAATACATTTTATATTTCAATGTAGTAAACATACATATGACTCTACGTTCTACCCCCCACACACATATATACACCAAAAAACCCCACAAATTTTCACAAAACAATATTTATCATTCATACATATGACAGACTTGATATGTTCCATTTATGCACTTCTACGTAAAAAGAAATACTGGGTATGATCTATTAAACTGATTTCATAATCTATAACTAAATGATGGCCCAAAGTTTGAAAACCAATTTTCTAGAGGAAAAGGGCTAATCAAATGAACTGCTATGATCAAAAGGTGATGTTAAGTAATGAATTCGCCTAGCCCTAGAAGAACAGGTTTGCCTGTTAGCAGAGCTCTAAAATGATTTAACCTAAAAGAAATGTGTGGGAATGGTGGGTAAGTAGGAGAAATATTACACTGAAAAAGGTCCACTTCTATTTCTTAAACTTATGTTAAATGTGTTTCATATTCCTGAGTATTATAGGTTCCGCTATCAACAGCTGCCTCTGCAACATCTGTTTGTGATTATACTGACCACTAAAATAGGAGATACAAATATGTCTATGACAAGTCAATTAACAATTTAAAACAAACACATAATTTTTGTGGTAGGTACTTAGTCTCAGGAATAGTTGACCACAAATCACCAACTTAAAAAAGAATTGACAATGCCAGAAATGCCTCCATTGATGGTCTTGTGACCTGTAAATGGATGCTTCTTATTGTTGGAGCTTTCTGAATATTCTACTAGAGCATTACATAATGAGACTGCATTGACAGGATAAAATTAGACAACTAGCTTAGTCAATTCTATTTGAAAAATAAGTTAATACATTATTTGCTTCCATGACATTCAAAACAAATTTTTAATTTTGTCACTAATATATGCTAACAGCTTTTTTTGTATGTATAATGAACCTCTTTGGCAGTGTGAAGAAGTCTATGGACCCTATCTCAGAATAATGTTTTTAAATAAATAAGACAGTAAAATGGCAAAGTAAACCAATTATATTAAAATATTGATCTATTTATGGGTCCTTGAGGGTCCCTGGAACTCAGGTAAAGAACTCTATGGCTATGACTTAAAAAACAAACAAAAAAATAACATATTGCTTTAGTTTTCTACTCTGCTTAAGACATCCCTCACTTGCACTGCCTCTAAAAAATTGAAAGAGGATGTGAACTTGGACCATCATGAGTAAGAAACAACTGTGGTTACAACTGGAGGTACACCTGCATTCAGAAGAAATAACTGCTACTATTATTAGAGGTATTACCTAACACTATGACCCAAAAGTAGAGGAGATTTGAAGGTGTCCTAAATTAGACTTTTGGCTTTCTATGTTCAAATAAGCTTCTTCACCTCTTCAGGGTTATTTGTATCTCTCTATATATTAATTCTATCGTCCATTGCTAGAAAATTTTATAACATTATGACTTACATATTGATATCATCTTGTTTCTGAAATGTCAATCATAAATATTGCTCAAAGGAAGTTCTTTCTACTATTGATAAATCTTTCCTATGTTATCAATCTTGCTAATTTCCTGGATACAGATGAGTGAGTGACAGATAATTCTGAGTGTTGGAGATTAGAAATGAACTAAACAAAAGCAGCCATTAAAACATGAAAAATCATACAAATTTAAAATATTATTCTACTGCCCAGTCACTGTATGTAGCAATCCAACCCATTTATTTTCATGATATTCCTAAGGGAAGCTGTATAATGGGAAGGTGCAGATTTGTTTCAGACTGAGAAAAATCAACCCAACATTCTCTCTACTTTCATATTTACAGTCAATTACATGAAATATTCAAGCAGGAAATTGCCCCAGGATCTAAACCATCCATAAATAATTCAGATTGTCAACTTTTGGCAGATACACTAAAAGCACTGTTTTTATTTGTGTAACAATTGAGAAGTTTAATACAGAAGAAGATATGTATATGGGGAATCCACCCACAGTGTTTTACAATAAAGCATGCCATGGTCTCATGCTACCGGATGACATTCCTGGAAAACAGGTTCAGAAACTGACATTCTACTTAGAGCTAGTTATTAGCGGGACAGAGAGGATTCTCTACATAACATAAAGGCATCTAACAGAGTTTTAAATGTTAGCATTTACAGTAATATTTTTATGCAACTATTCAAAAAAGAGCAGAAATAATTTATTTCAAATATTAAGCTAATTGATAATGTCCATGTATACAGTGACTCATTAAGTGTCTAATATCGTCCCGTCACTCTACTTGGTGCTTTAGAGAATGACTGGATAAAATACAGTCCTTACCACAAAGAACCCTTATTACACTTAAGGAGAAATGTATATAAATCTAAAAATGAGCCTTACATAAAAACATACAATACAAACAGCCTTCATTATAAATTATATTAAAATTAAATGTCATATTTCAAATATATATGTATGTATATACCATATCTTTTTTTGAAGCTACTTGTATTGATCAAATCTTCCATTTTACGATATTTTTCAATCACAGCTGACTACCACCTAAGGTGGGAGAAAGAGCAGGAACATAAGTTCTGTTGTCCTTATGGCAAGTGTTTGCAATAATCTACAGCAATTGTCTACACAGCTGTAAGGTTTAAGCTGAAAGGAAAACATCCAAGTGAATAAAGTTTGTTTATATAATATTGGTTATGGTTAATTCGTCCAAAAATCATGAAGAGGCTGGTTCCATTCTTACAAAATTAAGCCTTATAATTTGTAATGATCAATTTATCTATTAAAAACTATTTGTTCAGGGTATATTAGGTATTGGCATGTTTCCTAAACACTTGAAACACAGAGGTGAATTAAATACACAGGTCACAATGAAAGATACAAGTATATATAGAAGTAAAAAGTCATATAGTAAATATAGTATTTTAGATATTTTGAAAGCCACAGGAAAGCAAAATTAACCTTTTTAGAGTGCAGGGCGGGCAGACAAATAGAAGATATTCCATTGCTTAAAGTGATATTTGAGGTGAGTTTTTGTTCGTTTTCTGTTTGTTTGCTTGCTTGCTTGTTTTTTGAGACGGAATTATGCTCTTGTTGCCCAGACTGGATGGAGTACAGTGGCACAATCTCACCTCACTGCAACCTCCATCTCCCTTGTTCAAGTGATTCTCCTGCCTCAGTCTCCCACGTAGCTGGGATTACAGGCATGCACCACCACGCCCGGCTTATTTTGTATTTTTAGTAGAGATGGGGTTTCACCATATTGGTCAGGCTGGTCTCGAACACCTGACCTCACGTGATCCACCTGCCTCGGCCCCTAAAGTGCTGAGATTACAGGCATAAGCCACCACGCCCAGCCTTGAGGTGAGTTCTAAAGAGTAATTTGGAAATGGCATTACAGGATGAGATAGAAAATATATCCAAAGGCACAATGGTGGAAGTGGCATGACAGGACATCAGATTTCAACATGTAAAGAGCTTTAAACTAATTGCTTCCATTCTTATAACAGAAAAAAAAAAAAAACTGGGAAAACTGAAAATCAATGACTTTTCTTAGACCCATCAGAAATCTCAGGCCTTAGATCAAACCGCCATTCTCATATCTGGAGACACAGGAGGATCCAGAGAGTCAGAGGTGAGATTTGTTCACCTGAGGAAGCAGCCACTGGAGCCATAACCTGGTAGGAAGGCTCAAATAGTAATTTTGATGAATTATAGAAAGCTGAATGTGGACTAGCTTTGGAGTGAAAATCTTGGTGCTGCAATCTTGAGGGAAACTTTATACTATCATGAGCTTTACCTTCAGGAATCCCACTAGCTTCTCACAGTAAATATCCAAGAAAAATTTCCTGTGGCTCTGGTGGTTGAAGGGTGGGCAGAGAAGAAAATAGTTGTGAAATAAGCCCAGAGTCTACTCTATAAGTCCATAATCAAGACCTGCTCTTCAGGTTAAAAATGCTTTGCCAGAACCTTATCCAGGATGAGAGGAGGGAATTCCTCCTAATTCAGCCCCTTCCATTCTCCTGTCTCAGCTAAGGGAAAAATCACTCAACAGGGGTCATAGCCTTAAGTAAATAGATTAGGAATGTTTCTGGCAGGAAAAGAAGTAGAGGGATAAAAGATGGAGTTGGGGATGCTGTACTCTTTGAAAATCACTTGTGAAGGTTACAGCCTTGAGAGCCTAGTAATTGCTGAGCTGTAACCAGATTATAGAACATTTCTGTTCCCCAACACTGTACTATTCCACAGGGACTCAGAATAATAATAATGGGTTACAGCTGAAAGAGTAGTAAGACGTGGATTTTCTCTGAGGGAGAGTATTTACGGAAGCCAAAGTCAAGTCGAGATAAAAATGAGAACACAAGAGAAGCCAAAGCCCCTGGCACCTACAGCTACAGCTAACATTTAACCCAGCCCAATTCTTATCCAGATTAGCATAAACTCTCATACTAAAGACTTGTTTACCTCAGCTCCTATAATCTGGTACAACATGTCCATATTTCAACAACAAAAAAATTGCAAGACATGGCAAAAGGCAAGAAAAACACAATCTGAATAAACAAATCAATCATCAGAACTAGAATCGGATTTCACTTAGATGTTGGAACTATCAGAAAGGAATTTAAAATAACTATAATTAAAGGGTTAAGGAGCCTAATGGAAAAAATGAAATGCAAGACTAGATGGGTAATATAAGAGAGAGATAAAAAACCTTTCTCAGACAAACTTGCATTAAGGGAATTCATACACAACAGACCTGCCCTGCAAGAAATTTTAAAAGAAGTTCTTTAGGCACAACATAAATAATATAGATCAGGAGCTTGGATCTACATAAAGAAAGAAAGAGTGTGAGAAAAAGAATAAATGAAGGTAACACATTTTTTAATTCTTAATTGACCTAAATGATAACTGTTTGTTAAAAGCAACAATAGCAACAATATATTGGGTCATTATAGCATATGGATAGGTGAAATGAATTGCAGCAAGTTCACAGGAAGTGAAGGGTGGAACTGGGAATACTTTCTTATAAAGTATCTACACAACATGTGAAGTTGTACAGTGTTATTTGAAAGTGGATTAGGCTATAGGTTTTAAAAGCTACATATTGTAAATTCCAAGGCAGCCACTAAATATTTTTAAATGTTTCATGAATATTGATGCAAAACTTCTCAATGAAATATAAGCAAATTGAACTGAACAATGTACAAAAAGAATTATATGCCGCAATCTTGCATGTTCTACTCCAGGTATGTAAGGCTGGTTCAACAGCCTTTAAATGTTTAAAAAATAAATATAATTCATCATATCAACACACAAAAGAATAAAAACCATGTGATCACATCAAGAGATGCGGAAAAAAAGCATGTGTAAAATTCCATACCTGTCCATGATAAAAACTCCTAACAAACTAGAAATAGAGCAGAACTTCCACAACTTGTTTAAAAATTTGTTTTTTAAACCTACATCTATTATAATACCTAATTACATTCTCTTTAAGATTGGGGATAAGGCAAGAATATCCCCTCTCACAATTATTATTCATCATTTTACTGGAAATCCTAACTAACACAATAAGAAAAGAAAAGGAAATAAGATGTACAGATTAGGGGAAAAAAACTGTTTGAGGATGACATGACTATGTAGAAAATCTAATGAATTAACAACAACAAACAAATTTCCTGGAACTAATAAGCAATTGTAGCAAGGGTGCCAGATATGAGGTTAATAAACAAAATTCAATTGCTCTCCTGTATACCAGCAGTGAACAAGTGAAATTTGACATTAAAAACAGCATTTACATCAGCACCAATCAAAAAAATTAAGTACCTATTTATAAAGCTAACAATACGATCTGTATTAGGAAAACTATAAAACTACAATGAAAACAATCAACAAAGATCTAAAACAAAAATCTGCACACAAATGTTTATAACAGTTTTATTCATAATTGCCAAAAATTGAAAGTAATAAAGATGTGTTTCTTTACACCAAATTTAAATTACACACTTCTGGTACATTCATAAAATTTATTATCATTTGCTGATAAAAAGAAATGTGTTAGCAAGCTATGAAAAAACTTAAAGAACTTAAGAAGGATTTTAAGTGCATATTGCTAAGTAAAAGATGTTAGTTTGAAAAGCCTGCACCCTGTATGATTCCAACTATATAATATTGTATAAAAGGCAAAATTATAGAGACAATAAAAGGACTGACTGTTGCCAGGAGTTCCATTATGGGCAGGAGGAAGAGGGGAGAGATAAACAGATGAATCACAGGGGATTTTTAGGGCACTGAAATTATTCTGTATGATACTGTGATGGTGGAGACATGACATTATGCATTTGTCAAAACTCACAGAATGTACAACCCAAAATTGGACCCTATGATAAACTGTGAAATTTAGTTAATAATAATGTCTCTGAAAGTTAATAAAGTCTCTAAAAATAATAAAATAAAATATAGATGTTGTCAGATTGGATTAAATAAAAAACAAGATTCAACTACACATTATCTATAAGAAACATCTTAAATATAAAGATTCAGATGGGTTCAAAGTACAGATATGGAGAAAAATATATCATGCGAACTCCAATCAAGAGAAATTTGGGGTAATTATGTTAACTTCAGACAAATCAGACATCGGAACAAAGAAAATTATCAGAATAGAGACAGTACAGAATGATAAAGGGATCAATTCTCCAAAAAGACATAATCCTGTGTATGCGCTTTACAAAAAAGCATAAAAACACCTGAAGCAAAACCAGATAAAACTGCAAAAAGAAATAGATGAATCTACTCTTCCAGCTGGAGACTTCAACATATCTCTGTCAGTAATTGATAGAGCAAGCAGGCAGGAAATCAGTAAAGATATAGACGACCTGAATAGCACTATCAATGTGATCTACTTGACATTCATAGAATACTCGTTGCAATGTCAGAATACACATTGTTTTTAAGCACACATGAAAAATTCATCAAAATAAACCACATTCTGGGCCATAAAGCATACAAAAACAAATTTAAAAGAATAAAAGCCATGCAAAGTATGTTCTCAGGACTCAGTGAATTAAACTAGAAATCAATAACATAAAGGTAGCTGGAAAATCACTGAATATTTGAAAAGCAGACAACACACATCTATTAACTCATGAGTCAAAGATGAAACCTCAAAAAAAATTTCACTTGTCCAAAATGGCACGAAAAGTGCATTGAACTCTAGTGTATGTTGTCATATGGAAATGATAGGAAGTAGGGCGGGGGGATGGACAGAGCTCATAATATAAAAGGTCTTCCAGATCATAAGGAAAATGTTAGTCTTTATTCTCTAAGTGAAATTGTACCATTGATGTCACTAAGATCATATATGAAGTTTAGAACATTATCTACCAGATGTACACACCAACCTATTGGCTATAGAGTAGGCCAGATATTATAATTCTGAATTAAGGCTGAGGCAGCATGATTGGAAAGAAAGAATGCCAAATGATAACCAGGAGGTATAACCAACAGAACCTCACACTCCAGTATGGGTTGGAGATAAAGAAAATGGAAAGTGATTATCCTGATATAGACCAATAGACAGATAATGATGCTATTTACTGACAGAGGAAGTGAAAACATTTGTTTTTAACACAAAGATATTAATTTTTAATAACCTAAGTAAAAAATGGCTATTGTATTTATCAGCTGGTAATCAATTTATTCTCATTGTAAGGATTCTAAAAGACTTATTTTGAAATTCTCAGGGTTGCTTCCAAGATGGCTGGATAGCAACAGCTCCAGTCTGCAGCTCCCAGCGAGATCAATGCAGAAGAAGGGTGATTTCTGAATTTCCAACTGAAGTACCTGGTTCATTGCACTGGGGCTGGTTGGAAAGTGGGTGCAGCCCATGGAGGATGAGCTGAAGCAGGGCGGGGCATACCTCGCTCGGGAAGTGCAAGGGGTGGGGGGATTTCCCTTTCCTAGCCAAGGGAAGCCGTGACAGACCATGCCTGGAGAAACAGTACACTCCTGACCAAATATGGTGCTTTTCCCAAAGTCTTAGCAACCAGCAGACCAGGAGATACCCTCCCGTGCCTGGTTCAGCAGGTCCCACACCCACGGAACCTTGCTCACTACTAGTCCAGCAGTCTGAGATGGACCTGCAATGCTGCAGCTTGACAAGGGGAGGGGCATCGGCCATTGCTGAAGCTTGAGTAACTCACAGTGTAAACAAAGTGGCCTGGAAGTACAAACTGGGCAGAGCCCACCACAGCTCAGCAAGGCCTACTGCCTCTATAGATTCCACCTCTGAGGGCAGGGCATAGTAGAACAAAAGGCAGCAGACAGCTTCTGCAGACTTAAATGTCCCTGACAGCCCTGAAGAGAGCAATGGTTCTCTCAGCACGGCGTTCAAGCTCTGAGAAAGGACAGACTGCCTCCTCAAGCGGGTCCCCGACCCCCGTGTAGCCTGACTGGGAAACACCTCCCAGTAGTGGCCGACAGACACCTCAAACAGGCGGGTGCCCCTCTGGGATGAAGCTTCCAGAGGAAGGATCAGGCAGCAATATTTGCTGTTCTACAGCCTCCGCTGGTGATATCCAGGCAAACAGGGTCGGGAGTGGACCTACTGCAAACTCAAACAGACCTGCAGCTCAGGGGTCTGACTGTTAGAAGGAAAACAAACAGAAAGGAACAGCATCAACATCAACAAAAAGGACATCCACACCAAAACCCAATCTATAGGTCACCAACATCAAAGACCAAAGGTAGATAAACCCACAAAGACGGGGAGAAACCAGAGCAGAAAAGCTGAAAATTGCAAAAAACAGAGTGCGTCTTCTCCTCCAAAGGATTGCAGCTCCTCGCCAGCAACTGAACAAAGCTGGACAGAGAATGAGTTTGACGAGTTGACAGAAGTAGGCTTCAGAAGGTTGGTAATAACAAACTTCTCCGAGCTAAAGGAGCATGTTCTAACCCATCACAAGGACGCTAAAAACCTTGAAAAAATGTTAGAGGAATGGCTAACTAGAATTAACAGTGTAGGGAAGACCTTAAATGACCTAATGGAGCTGAAAACCACGACACGAGAACTTTGTTACTCATGAACAAGCTTCATTACCCAATTTGATCAAGTGGAAGAAAGGATATCAGTGACTGAAGATCAAATTAATAAAATAAAGTGACAAGACAAGATTAGAGAAAAAAGAGTGAAAGAAATGAACAAACCCTCCAAGAAATATGGGACTATATGAAAAGACGAAATATACATTTGATTGGTGTACTGGAAAGTGATGGGGAGAATGGAACCAAGTTAGAAAACACTCTTCAGGATATTATCCAAGAGAACTTCCCTAACCTAGCAAGGGAGGCCAACATTCAAATTCAGAAAATACAAAGATACTCCTTGAGAAGAGCAATCCTAAGACACATAATTGCCGGATTCACCAAGGTTGAAATGAAGGAAAAAATGTTAAGGGCAGCCAGAGAGAAAGGTGGGGTTACCCACAAAGGGAAGCCCATCAGACTAACAGCAGATCTCTCGGCAGAAACCATACAAGCAAGAAGACAGTGGGGGCCAATATTCAACATTCTTAAGGAGAAGAATTTTCAACCCAGAATCTCAAACCCAGACAAACTAAACTTCATCAGTGAAGGAGAAATAAAATCCTTTACAGACAAGCAAATGCTGAGAGATTTTATCACCACCAGGCCTGCCTTACAAAAGCTCCTGAAGGAAGCACTAAATATGGAAAGGAACAACAGGTACCAGCCACTGCAAAACACATGCCAAATGGTAAAGACCATTGATGCTATGAAGAAACTGCATCAGTTAACCGGCAAAAAAACCAGCAAACATTATAATGACAGGATCAAATTCAAACATAACAATATTAACCTTAAATGTAAATGGGCTAAATGTCCCAATTAAAATACATAGACTGACAAACTGGATAAAGAATCAAGACCTATTGGTGTGCTGTATTTAGGAAACCCATCTCATGTGCAAAGATGCACATAGGCTCAAAATAAAGGGATGGAGGAAGATCTACCAAGCAAATGGAAAACAAAAAAAGGCAGGGGTTGCAATCCTAGTCTCTGATAAAACAGACTTTAAACCAACAAAGATCAAAAGAGACAAAGAAGGCCATTACATAATGGTAAAAGGATCAATTCAACAAGAAGAGCTAACTATCCTAAATGTATATGCACCCAATACAGGAGCACCCAGATTCATAAAGCAAGTCCTGAGAGACATACAAAGAAACTTAGACTCCCACACAATAATAACGGGAGGCTTTAACACCCCACTGTCAATATTAGACAGATCAACAAGACAGAAGGTTAACAAGGATATCCAGGACTTGAATTCAGCTCTGGACCAAGCAGACCTAACAGACATCTACAGAACTCTGCACCCCAAATCAACAGAATATACATTCTTCTCAGCACCACATTGCACATATTCTAAAATTGACCACATAATTGGTAGAAAAACACTTCTCAGCAAATGTAAATAATAGAAATCACAACAAACTGTCTCTTAGACCACAATGCAATCAAATTAGAACTCAGGATTAAGACACTCACTCAAAACTGCACAACTACATGGAAACTGAATAACCTGCTCCAGAATGACTACTGGGTAAATAACAAAATGAAGGCAGAAATAAAGATGTTCTTTGAAACCAATGAGAACAAAGACACAATGTACCAGAATCTCTGGGATACATTTAAAGCAGTGTGTAGAGGGAAATTTATAGCACTAAATGCCCACAAGAGAAAGCAGGAAAGATCTAAAATCGACACCCTAGCATCACAATTAAAAGAACAAGAGAAGCAAGAGCTAACAAAATCAAGAGCTAGCAGAAGGCAAGAAATAATTAAGATAAGAGCAGAAATGAAGGAGATAGAGACACAAAAAAACCTTCAAAAAATCAATGAGTCCAGGAGCTGGTTTTCTGAAAAGATTAACAAAATAGATAGACCACTAGCAACACTAATAAAGAAGAAAAGAGAGAAGAATCAAAAAGATGCAATAAAAAATGATAAAGGGGATATCACCACCGATCCCACAGAAATACAAACTACCATCAGAGAATAATATAAACACCTCTATGCAAATAAACTAGAAAATCTAGAAGAAATGGATAAACTCCTGGACACATACACCTTCCCAAGACTAAACCATGAAAAATTTGAATCTCTGAATAGACCAATAACAGGCTCTGGAATTGAGGCAATAATTGATAGCCTTCCTGGCAAACCAAATCCAGCAGCACATCAAAAAGCTTAACCACAACAATCAAGTTGGCTACATCCCTGGGATGCAGGGCTGGTTCAACGTATGCAAATCAATAAACGTAATCCATCACTAAACAGAACCAAAGACAGAAACCATATGATTACCTCAACAGATGCAGAAAAGGCATTCCACAAAATTCAACAGCCCTTCATGCTAAAAACTCTCAATAAACTAGGTATTGATGGAACGTATCTCAAAATAATAAGAGCTATTTATGACAAACCCACAGCCAATATCTTACTGAATGGGCAAAAACTGGAAGCATTCCCTTTGAAAACCAGCACAAGACACGGATGCCCTCTCTCACCACTCCTTTTCAACATAGCATTGTAAGTTCTGGCCAGGGCAATCAGGCAAGAGAAAGAAATAAAGGGCATTCAGTTAGGAAAAGAGGAAGTCAAATTGTCTCTGTTTGCAGATGACATGATTGTATATATAGAAAACCCCATTGTCTTAGACATGAAGTACTTGACCATGCCTATGTCCTGAATGGTATTGCCTAGGTTTTCTTCTAGGGTTTTTATGGTTTTAGGTCTAAAATGTAAGTCTTTAATCCATCTTGAATTAATTTTCATATAAGGTGTAAGGAAGGGATCCAGTTTCAGCTTTCTACATATGGCTAGCCAGGTTTCCCAGCACCATTTATTGAATAGGGAATCCTTTCCCCATTGCTTGTTTTTGTCAGGTTTGTCAAAGATCAGATAGTTGTAGATATGTGGCATTATTTCTGAGGGCTCTGTTCTGTTCCATTGGTCTATATCTCTGATTTGGTACCAGTACCATGCTGTTTTGGTTACTGTAGCCTTGTAGTATAGTTTGAAGTCAGGTAGTGTGATGCCTCCAGCTTTGTTCTTTTGGCTTAGGATTGACATGGCAATGCAGTCTCTTTTTTGGTTCCATATGAACTTTAAAGTAGTTTTTTCCAATTCTGTGAAGAAAGTCATTGGTAGCTTCATGGGGATGGCATTGAATCTATGAATTACCTTGGGCAGTTTGGCCATTTTCACAATACCGATTCTTCCTACCCATGAGCATGGAATGCTCTTCCATTTGTTTGTATCCTCTTTTATTTCACTGAGCAGTGGTTTGTAGTTCTCCTTGAAGAGGTCCTTCACAACCCTTGTAACTTGGATTCCTAGGTATTTTATTCTCTTTGAAGCAGTTTTGAGTGGGAGTTCACTCATGATTTGGCTCTCTGTTTGTCTCTTATTGGTGTATAAGAATGCTTGTGATTTTTGTACATTGATTTTGTATCCTGAGACTTTGCTGAAGTTGCTTATCAGCTTAAGGAGATTTGGGGCTGAGATGATGGGGTTTTCTAAATATACAATCATGTCATCTGCAAACAGGGACAATTTGACTTCCTCTTTTCTTAATTGAATACCTTTTATTTCTTTCTCCTGCCTGATTGCCCTGGCCAGAACTTCCAACACTATGTTGAATAGGAGTGGTGAGAGAGGGCATCCCTGTCTTGTGCCAGTTTTCAAAGGGAATGCTTCCAGTTTTTGCCCATTCAGTATGATATTGGCTGTGGGTTTGTCATAAATAGCTCTTATTGTTTTGAGATACTTCCCATCAATACCTAATTTATTGAGAGTTTTTAGCATGAAGGGCTGTTGAATTTTGTCAAAGGCCTTTTCTAGGTCTAGTGAGATAATCATGTGGTTTTTGTCGTTGATTCTGTTTACATGCTGGATTACATTTATTGATTTGCATATGTTGAACCAGCCTTGCATCCTGGGGATGAAGCCCACTTGATCGTGGTGGATAAGCTGTCCGATATGCTGCTGGATTTGGTTTGCCAGTACTTTATTGAGGATTTTTGCATCGATGTTCATCAGGGATATTGGTCTAAAATCCTCTTTTTTTGTGTGTCTCTGCCAGGATTTGGTATCAGGACGATGCTGCCCTCATAAAATGAGTTAGGGA
This sequence comes from Homo sapiens, assembly GCF_000001405.40. NCBI lineage: Eukaryota > Metazoa > Chordata > Mammalia > Primates > Hominidae > Homo > Homo sapiens. The sequence continues at coordinate 56,601,497 of NC_000002.12, read as the reverse complement.
GGATTCCTTTTCTATTGATTGGAATAGTTTCAGAAGGAATGGTACCAGTTCCTCCTTGTACCTCTGGTAGAAATTGGCTGTGAATCCGTCTGGTCCAGGACTTTTTTTGATTGGTAAGCTATTAATTATTGCCTCAATTTCACCAAAAGCAATGGCAACAAAAGCCAAAATTGACAAATGGCATCTAATTAAACTAAAGAGCTTCTTCACAGCAAAAGAAACTACCATCAGAGTGAACAGGCAACCTACAGAATGGGAGAAAATTTTTGCAATCTACTCATCTGAAAAAGGGCTAATATCCAGAATATACAATGAACTCAAACAAATTTGCAAGAAAAAAGCAAACAACCCCATCAACAAGTGGGCAAAGGATATGAACAGACACTTCTCAAAAAAAGACATTTGTGCAGCTAAAAGACATATGAAAAAATGCTCATCATCACCGGCCATCAGAAAAATGCAAATCAAAACCACAATGAGATACTATCTCACACCAGTGGGAATGGTGATCATTTAAAAGTCAGGAAACAACAGGTGCTGGAGAGGATGTGGAGAAATAGGAACACTTTTACACTGCTGGTGGGACTGTAAAGTAGTTCCACCATTGTGGAAGTCAGTGTGGCGATTCCTCAGGGATCTAGAACTAGAAATACCATTTGACCCAGCCATCCCATTACTGGGTATATACGCAAAGGATTATAAATCATGCTGCTATAAAGACACATGCACATGTATGTTTATCGCAGCACTACTCACAACAGCAAAGACTTGGAACCAACCCAAATGTCCACCAATGATAGACTGGATTAAGAAAATGTGGCACATATACACCATGGAATACTATGCAGCCATAAAAAATGATGAGTTCATGTCCTTTGTAGGGACATGGATGAAGCTGGAAACCATCATTCTCAGCAAACTATTGCAAGGACAAAAAAACAAACATAGCATGTTTTCACTCATAGGTGGGAATTGAACAATGAGAACACATGGACACAGGAAGGGGAACATCACACACCAGGGCCTGTTATGGGGTAGGGGGATGGGGAAAGGATAGCATTAGGAGATATACCTAATGTGAAAAGACGAGTTAATGGGTGCAGCACACCAGCATGGCACATGTATATATATGTAACAAACCTTCACGTTGTGCACATGTACCCTAAAACTTAAAGTATAATATAAATAAATAAAAAAATAAATAAAAAGAAAACCCCATCATCTCAGCCCAGTATCTCCTTAAGCTGATAAGCAACTCCAGCAAAGCCTCAGGATACAAAATAAATGTGCAAAAATCACAAGCATTCCTATACACCAATAATAGAGAGCCAAATCATGAGTGAGCTCCCATTCACAATTACTACAAAGAGAGTAAAATACCTGGGAATCCAACTTACAAGCGATGTGAAGGACCACTTCACAGAGAACTACAAATCACTGCTCAATGAAATAAAAGAGGACACAAACATATAGAAGAACATTCCATTCTCATGGATAGGAAGAATCAGTATTGTGAAAATGGCCATATTGCTCAACCTAATTTGTATACTCAATGCTATCCCCATCAAGCTACCATTGACTTTCTTCACACAATTAGAAAAAACTACTTTAAACTTCATATGGAACCAAATAAGAGCCCACAAAGCCAAGACAATCCTAAGCAAAAAGAACAAAGGTGGAGGCATCATGCTACCTGACTTCAAACTATACTACAAGACTACAGTAACCAAAACAGCATGGTACTAGTACCAAAACAAATATATAGATCAATGGAACAGAAGAAAGACCTCAGAAATAACACCACACATCTACAGCCATCTGATCTTTGACAAACCTGACAAAAACAAGCAATGAACAAAGGATTCCCTATTTAAAAAATGGTGCTGGGAAAACTGGCTAGTCATATGTAGAAAGCTGAAACTGGATCTCTTCCTTACACCATATACAAAAATTAATTCAAGATGGATTAAAGACTTAAATGTAAGACCTAACACCATAAAAACCCTAGAAGAAAACCCAGGCAATACCAATCAGGACATAGGCATGGGCAAAGACTTCATGACTAAAACACGAAAAGCAATGGCAACAAAAGCCAACATAGACAAGTGGGAGCTAATTAAACCAAAGAGTTTCTGCACAGCAAAAGAAATTATCATAAGAGTGTACAGGCAACCTACAGAATGGGAGAAAATCTTTGCAATCCACCCATCTGACAAGAGCTAATATCCAGAATCTACAAATAACTTAAACGAATTTACAAGAAAAAAGCAACCCCATCAAAAAGTGGGCAAAGGATATGAACAGACACTTCTCATAAGAAGACACTTATGCAGCCAAAAGACATATGGAAAAATGCTTACCATCACTGCTCATTAGAGAAATGCAAATCAAAACCACAATGACATACCATCTCAGAGGAGTTAGAATGGCAATCATTAAAAAGTCAGGAACCAACAGGTGCTGGAAAGGATGTGGAGAAATGGGAACAGTTTTACACTGTTGGTGGGACTGTAAATTAGTTCAACCATTGTGGAAGACAGTGTGATGATTCCTCAAGGATCTAGAACTAGAAATACCATTTGACCAGCCATCCCATTACAGGGTATATACCCAAAGGATTATAAATCATGCTACTATAAAGACACATGCACATGTATGTTTATCGCGGCACTATTCACAATTGCAAAGACTTGGAACCAACCCAAATGTCCACCAATGATAGACTGGATTAAGAAAATGTGGCACATATACACCATGGAATACTATGCAGCTATAAAAAAGGATGAGTTCATGTCCTTTGCAGGGTCATGGATGAAGCTGGAAACCATCATTCTAAGCAAACTATCACAAGAACAGAAAACCAAACACCACATGTTCTCACTCATAGGTGGGAGTTGAACAACGAGAACACATGGACACGGGGCGGGGAACATCACACACTGGGCCTTTCAGGGGGTGGGGGAACTGGGAGAGGAATAGCTTTAGGAGAAATACCTAATGTAAATGACAAGTTGATGGGTGCAGCAAACCAACATGGCACATGTATACCTATGTAACAAACCTGCACGTTGTGTACATGTACCCTAGAACTTAAGGTATAATAATAAAAAAAAAATTCTCATTTTTATTAATTGGTAAACTATTAAAGAAGAAAATTGTATTATTTTTATAATAATTATATAGTTTTTTCCTTTTTCAAACAGTTTTATTGAAATATAACTCATATACTATAAAATCTATCCTATTAAAACTTACAGTTCATGCCTCTCTTTGGCAGCACATATACTAAAAAAGTTTACAATTCAATTTTTTACGATATTCGCTGATATGCTTTCACTATGATCCAACCCATATCTCATCTTGAAATATAGTTCCCATAATACCCACTTGTTGTGGGAGGGAACTGGTGAGAGGTAATTTAATCATGGGGGTGATTACACTAACGCTGTTCTCCTGATATCGAGTGAGTTCTCACGATATCTGATGGTTTTATAAGGAGCTTTTCCCCCTTTTGCTTGGCACTTCTTGCTGTCACCATGTGACGAAGGATGTGTTTGTTTCCCCTACCTCCATGATTATAAGTTTCCTGAGGCCTCCCCAGCCATGCTGAAATGTGAGTTAATTAAATCTCTTTCCTTTATAAATTATCCAGTCTCAGGTATGTCTTTATTAGCAGTGTGAGAACAAATGAATACATTCACGAAGCCATGTGACAACCACAGTTATCTAATTTTAGAATATTTTCACCACCCCCCCACCACAAAAAAATATACACTTTAGTGTTATACCCCACTTCCCTCTCTTCCTAGCCCTAGGCAACTACTAATCTACTTTGTCTCTGTTGACTTGCCTATTCCAACAATTTTATATAAACACAACTATATGATGTGTAGTCGTATAATTTTTTATTTCTTTTTCACTTAGCATGCTCTCAAATTTCATCCATGTTATAACATATGTCAATACTTGATTCACTTTTATTGCCAACAATATTTCACATATAATAATTTACTTTTATTGCCAAACAATATTTCATTATATGTGAAATATTGTTTGGCAATAAAACAATACCACATTTTGTTTATCCATTATTCAGTTAATGGATATTTGGATTGTTTTCTCTTTTGGCTATTATGGATAAAGCTAATATGAACATTATATTCAAAATTTTTCATGATGTTTTAAACTTACTATTGGTCATATATCTAGGAGTGGAATAACCCAATTTTAGAATGGGCAAGAAATTTGAATACATTATATACAAATGTCAAAAAAGCACATGAAAAGATGCTCAACATCTTTAGTCATGATGGCAATGTAAATCAAAATCACAATGAGATACCTCCTTATATACACTGTATACCACCATAAGGGGGAGAGACCTAATGTTTAAATTGTTACTGATGTTACTATATTGTTACAGAATTATTTTTTCTAAGAATGTTCATAGTAGCAAGTTTCTATCCCTTGAAGTTATACTGAACATATATTATAAGAAGACAATATTCTATTGAGCAATACTGGCTTTATTATAGCAAAAATATTTTAACATATAATTTCACTTTTTTGACTTTACAAAATTAATTTACTTGAAAACAAAACAAAAACTACACAGAACAATTTAACAAACCCCATGTGCCCACTCCTCAGAATTGAAACATTAAGATTAAATTATATTTTTAAAAAACTTTATTGGTGGATGTACAAACAATGCTAAAGGTATTTTCTTTCTATAAATCTCAAAATGTATACCTTTAGAGACAGAAAGGAATCCAATTCTAGTTGAACACTTGGGTCATACAACTAACCTGTGTCCAATTGCACTTGTGATGTGCATGTGAATCTCCAAATGTCATAATATATCAAGGACCATTAAAATAACCCTTAAAACTGATACACAAAACTTTTGGCTGTGAAGAAAATATTATTTTAGCCTTCTGTATCCCTGACTTTAAAACACATAATAATATTCAGAAAAGATAACCCTGAAGTTCATGTAGAAAGGTCATGTGCAAGAAAACCAATATCAATAGATTAGGAATTAGTAATTCTTTATTATGCCTATTCTATCTGGGAGACCTTTTGTAAGTCAATTAACCTATCTTAATTTCAGTATCCTCATAAGTAAAATGAAAACTTTGTGTTGAATTACCCATAAAATCACTATCTGTTCTAAAAAATATGATTCTACCTGTTCTTTTATTTCAGAGTATTCAAAGAATTCTAAAATACATGCCTCAAATTTTTTTAAAAAATATTATCTTTTTAAGGAGTATTGTCCATAAGCTTTATTTTAAAAAACTTACCAAGTTTCTACTTTGGATGGCTTTTTTGGGAAATAGTTGGAGGAATGAGAAGCAGAACAAATCTGAGCAATGCAAATGTATGTCATGCATCAGTACAATTGGTTTTTATTACTATTCTATCCTTTATTATTTTATTTCACAAAAAAAGCCTGAAAATTCAGCCAGTGTTAGAAGCATTCCAATTTATTTGATTGGACAATAAATGATTCTATGGCTGATATTTTAAAGACCAGCACAAATATCACAAGCTACAACCAGCTCACTCCTGATAAGCAGAATAACATTTTCTTAATTTGTGCAAGCCACTGAAAAAACTGAAAGATGCCAATTTAGAAATCATTTCAATCTTGTAGCTGCAGAGTATATTAAAATATATGGAACTTGGAATCAAATAAGAGCATTTGTGAATAATAAAGGTTTGGAATATCCTAAGGTAGGAAACACCTTATTAAAATAAGGATTCCTCTCTACAAATTTAAGCAATGAAAAAAAACAAAAAATATAAAACAAAGTGATAATAGATTGGATTGTTTTAAGCCAAAGCTTAACAATTAACCCTGTGTCTCAAAGCAAAGCATTTTGTAAAGGCTAGCCACCAGTAATGTATTATGTCAAGTCCTAGAAAAGCATTAAACTAATTCAAATCCTTGGCATTTGGCCTTCTTAATTAAACATTTCATTTATTCATATCCCAATTAAGTAGCTTTAACCACCTCTCTGGGTATTATTCATCCTTTAATAATGATACAAGAAGAGCAGAGCAAGGAAGATTCTTATTCATAGTAATAAATATACACACATGTGACGTCTTTCATTAATGAATGCCAGTAGTAATGTTCATCACTGATGTAGGGTACACAGTTAATGCTGATCTATGTTAAGTTTCATTTTGGTCAAGGATTTACATAAAGTTCCAGGAGTGCCTTCTCTTTCAGAGAAGAAACTGTTTTTCATTCACGGCAGTATTTTCAGCCTCCAGCATGGAAAAGTGGTTCACATATTGACATTGCTGTCAGAGTCAGAACACAGAAGGTGAGTCCCGTGACAGAATACTTCTGTTAATAAAGGTCCCTACATCATGAGTTTTTTAGTATAACCCCAAATATATTTATATGCATGAAAGCCTAATCCAAATATTAGTGAGGTTGCAGAATTAAAGTTCATTCACCATTTTTCCCTTTAGTGGCCCATGTAAGCCTATCTTTAGAACAGTTATTCTCAACCAGAAGCAATTTTGCCCTCCCAGGGGACATTTGGCAATATTTGGAGACATTTTGGGTTTGAGTTGTCACAACTGTGTGGGTGGATACTACTGGCATCTATTTGATTGAGGCAAGCACAAGACAGGCCCAGAAACAAAGAATTACCCAGCCCAAAATCAATAGCACCAAGGTTGAGAAATCTTGCTCTGGAAGAATAAACTGTATATAAGTATGTAAAAGGAAAGCAGAAGGGCCTGGCAGGTGTGAGATTATCTGTCACTTTATAAGTGAGATGGGGAGGGGCTCAAGAGGTTATTTTTTGTCAGGCTGTACTTTTTCTAGGACATGAACTCACCATTTTTTATGGCTGCATAGTATTCCATGGTAGATATGTGCCACATTTTCTTAATCCAGTCTATCATTGTTGGACATTTGGGTTGGTTCCAAGTCTTTGCTATTGTGAATAGTGCTGCAATAAACATACGTGTGCATGTGTCTTCATAGCAGCATGATTTATAATCCTTTGGGTATATAGCCAGTAATGGGATGGCTGGGTCAAATGGTATTTCTAGTTCTAGATCCCTGAGGAATCGCCACACTGTCTTCCACAATGGTTGAACTAGTTTACAGTCCCACCAACAGTGTAAAAGTGTTCCTATTTCTCCACATCCTCTCCAGCACCTGTTGTTTCCTGACTTTTTAATGATAGCCATTCTAACTGGTGTGAGATGGTATCTCATTGTGGTTTTGATTTGCATTTCTCTAATGGACAGTGATGATGAGCATTTTTTCATGTGTCTTTTGGCTGCATAAATGTCTTCTTTTGAGAAGTGTCTGTTCATGTCCTTTGCCCACTTTTTGATGGGGTTGTTTGTTTTTTTCTTGTAAATTTGGGACATAGGCATCGGCAAGGACTTCATGTCTAAAACACCAAAAGCAATGGCAACAAAAGCCAAAATTCACAAATGGGATCTAATTAAACTAAAGAGCTTCTGCACAGCAAAAGAAACTACCATCAGAGTGAAGAGGCCACCTACAGAATGGGAGAAAATTTTTGCAATTTACTCATCTGACAAAAGGCTAATGTCCAGAATCTACAATGAACTCAAACAACATCTTTTTTCTAACAGATGATTCTCGCTGCAAGCCTTGTTTCAATCCAATCAGCATTTCCACAGCTCAAAGCCCACGCTGTTACAGGAAGAATCAAGTAATGGATCTTTCCTAGACCACTTCATGCAGGCCAGTTCATTATATTAATAATTTGTATAGACCATTTGTAAGAGCCTTCATGTTTTATAAACAGAAAATTTTACCTTGGGATCTTCAGAAGGAGCCAAGCTACAAACACCTTCTGATGAACTCTGTAACAACAGAATGCACTTAAAAGGATATACAACACATCAAGGAATGTTTCAAGAAATATAAACTATGAATATTAAAATTCAGAGAAATAGGGCCTCACCTTTCCCCCACCATCAGCCTGAGCCTTTCCACATGTGTTTTCTGGCAATAGAAGTCACTTATTTCATTATTCCCTCAGAGACTCATGGCAGAAACATGATGTATCAGCCTTTTCCTAAACGTTTACTTTCAGTTTCTACAGGTATCCATACAACTTTCAAAATGTTCTTCAGATTCACTATTTTCATTCGTATGCTACTGTAGTAAGGCTCAGTGGCATCTCACACCCCATATTATCCCGAGGGATTATCCAGACAGCAGCAACTGTAACTGTTTAGAAAACTAAATGTTTAAAATATTTAGCAAAGTAGACAGAATAACATAAAACTTACAGATCTGTTATCTATTCTGACATATGTGCATCAGATAGGTAGATAAGTCGATGTAGGGAAGGAGGGAAAGATAATAGATCCTTGTGAAACATTTCAGGGATACAAAATCTCAAATAATTTAATAAAATTCCAAGTAACACACTCTCAGCTTAAATAAAATGTTTCAGATAATTGAAGTTTCTAAGCATTTCTCCCCAGTCCTCTTCCTTTATTTTTCCCCTGAGTGAACATTGTCTTGAAGCCGGTATTCATCATTCTCATGCATGTTTTCAATCTATGATTACTCATGTATATATACAGAAACATTATACAGAAGGGTTCTTCCTGTTTTCAAACTTTACTTAAATAGTGTAATTTGCCCATCATTAGGACACTTGATTTTTATGCTCAGTATTCTGTTTTTGAGGTGTCATAACATAGTTCTCGTTCATTCATCTGAACCATTTATAGTATTCTGTGAAGTCATAACATTTATCTGTTCTTTTTAATGGACATTTAGGTATTTTTAGTCTTCACTATGACAAGCAGCATTGCCATGAACACCTTACTTGCTATCCTGTGCTATAAGAACTTTCTCTAGGATGTATAAATAGTGTGAGGGTTAAGGCCATAACACACATTGCTGTACTGTGCTAAATTCTACTGCAATCTCCTCAGTGAACACTCCTACTAGCATAAATGAGAATTTTCATTGCTCCACATCCTTATCAACTAATTGAATTGTAAAACTAGATTTTAATTTTTCAAATTCCATGGTTTTGAAAGGAATTTCAGTTTTTTATTTGCATTTCCCCAAAGAATCAGTGAGATTGAGAATATTCATATGCGTAGATTGAGTTTCTCTTTCTGGTCCCTCTTCCTCTCCTTTGCTCACTTATCTGTTGTATTATTACTTATATCCTCCCTCATTTGTAGGTATCCTTCCTTAACTCTAGATCCTAATTCTTTGTCAGATATATTTTAGATACTTTAAGACATTTCAGATATTTTTCTCTCAACCTATAGCATGTATTCTATTTTTGGTAATGATGTCTCTTGAAGACCAGAAATTTAATTTTAATAGAGTTAATTTAACCATCTTTTTTCTTTAGTATTTATTCTGTTTTGTAACTTAATAAATCATTCCTTAGCCCAAGATTATGAAAATATTTTCTCATAATTTCTATTAAAAAGGTCAAAGGTCTGCCTTTCCATTTTTACCTTTTCAGCCACCTAATTGTTTATTCTGGATGAAATGGAATTCCAGTTGTTTTTCATATGGATAACTAATTTTCCCAGAACTATTTATATATTTGTTCATTCTTTCCCAACAGTTTTAATGAAAAGTCTGAAATATATTGTTTCTACATAGATGTTTAGACTTCCTTAAAATTCCCCAATTTTTCTATTTGCCCAACTTCAAGCAATTTCTATATTATATGCTCATAATTAATAAGTTGTTAAACAAGTGTGATAAAGTCCCTCTATCTCTTCTTTCTCAAAATTGTCTCAGCTATTCTTGGCCTTTTGTACCATCATATGAGTTTCATGAGGAGTTATCAAGACCCTGAATAAATCCCTTTAGGTCTTGAATAGAGGTTGCATTGAAAATATATATTTATTTGAGGTAAATTGGTGCTTCTTTAAGAGTTTTTAATTCCTAAACTTTGTGTATTTCTCCTTTTATTCAAGTCTTATGTACTTCAGGAATATTTCAAAAATATCCCCTTAAAAGTATTAAGACATTTTAGAGCTATTCATGAGTACTTTACCACTATTATGTAATATTATTATATTTATCAATTTCATTTTAGTGGATAGTAGTTATGTAATTTTTTTAGTTTACCTAAAATCTAGTAAAATTTCAAAATTCTCTGAGTAGTTCTATTAATTTATTTATATATATATACCTTTCAGTTTTCTATAAAAGCAATCATATTGTGGAAAATTAAAGACTTTTTTTCCTTTTCCTTCATAATTTGTATAACTTTATTTCTCTATCTTACTAGACAAACTAGCACTTGTAGTATTACATTGAATAGAAAAAGTTATAAATGGCATCATTTTCATTCCTAAGTGGTAAACTTCTAACCTATTATCAATAAGTATGATAGTTGGGAGAATTTGAATAGACACCCTTTCTTAGATTAAGGAAATTTCATTCTGTATCAATTAGAAATGCTTTTGACCAAAAGTAAGAATATCTAACGTTTACATTTGCAATAAAAATACTTAGTTATGATATACAGAAATAATTTGAAAATTGGTGGTTCCAGGGGCAGGAGCTTCCCTGGATCAAGATGTCTGACATTCCTTTATGGCATATTCCAAGCATCATATCCACATACAATTATGGTCATAGGGAGGAAACAGACTGTAGCCACGGCACATAAAAATGAATCACCCATCTCTTCTTTTATTACGGAGGAAAGTCATTTCCTTGCCATCAGAATTATCCTTATACCTCATTGGCCTGGCCTGAGCCATCTGCCCATTGTTAACACAACAGAAGCTGGAAAAGTGAGTAGTTGGCTTTTCCAGTCTTTTTTGTCCATATCCCCCATTTGATTCACCAAGATTTTACAGTCTCAATAGTGAGAAGTGGGTAGGAAAAAGGGGTTTAGGAATGAGTATGAGGTAGACATAGAAAACAACAGAAGTAGCATATTTTGTTTGCTATGCTATCTGCTAAGAGCTTTCATTTTTAGTATATAAAACAGTGTTGAATCATATTTACTTTTGCTGCTTCTACTGAGATAATCATGTAAATTTCTTTATTAATCTATTAATCATATATTATTATAACAGCATTTCTAATATTGAAGCATTCTTGCTTTTGTAAGATTAATTATGCATGGTCAGAATGTATTTTTTAATGTACTGCTTAGTTAAATGTATTAGTATTTGGGGGAGATTTTCTGCATCCAAATCATAAGTAAAATTCATCTCTCATTTTCTTTCTTAGACTTTTATTGCCTCGTTTTGGTGTCAATATTATACTGGATTCATTAGAATGAATTTGGACATTTTCCCTCTTCTATTCTCTAGAGGATAATTCACAAACATTCTTGATTTGGTAGGATAATTTGGCATTATATGCCTTCCTGTGTTCTAGAATTGAGGCAGGAAGGCAGCCAAGGGAGCCTCAAGACAGCCCTTGGCTCCAAGCAGTCAGCCTGGCTGTGGTTCCCTATGAATTCACCACAAGTAGTCCCTATTACCCTACAGGAGCCAGTTCCTGGCCCCCACTGACAGTGCCCTGCTTCATACTAGCAAACTCATGGCTTCAGCCTCATTCACTGATTTGTCTCTCTGTTCTGTTTTTGGTCTTCAGAAATATTTAGCTTGCTTTGGAGCCCAACTATTTTTGGTTTGTTGCTACTATTTTTAATGATATATTTCATAAATCATTAGTTATTTGTTTAGAATTCGAGGACTGAATATAAACTCATGTGCAATCTTGATCAGAAGCCTAAAAATACTCTGAAAATATGGTCTTGAACAGAATCCCAAAAACACTCTTTGTGAGTGTGGTCTAGCATGGCCTTCAAGATTGAGCTTTTGCCTGACTCTACATCCTGGACTCCTACTTCTTTCCATCTTATTCCTTACAGTTCATTCAAATGGGCCTACATTTGGTTCCTAAACTGAAACTCTTCCCAGCCTGAGGATTTTTGAATGTTTTCTTACCTTGCTGATAGCCATATCCCTAGCAGGTGAAGAAGCCAACCTGCAGAGAAAATCAGAGTGAAATGTTGAGGAAATTCTGATGGCATCTAAACCCAGACTCCACCCATTCTTGTGCCATCTCCAACACTGCTCTTCTTGAGATTTGGCTGTATGACTCAAACATTCCTGGTTTGCCTAAGGTGTTTCAATTTCGATCTCTATTACTTGCAAACAGAATCCTAATGAATACATATTTTTATAATAGTAATATACATTAGTCTACTTTGTCTCAATTGAAGCTATAACATATTATCTGAATTAGAAGGAGCATTTCTAAGAATTAGGACTTACTCTCCCTTTTCTAATGACAGGGCTGGAAAACTGGCTGTGATAGCAGACAAACTACAGGAGAAGGGGCCACTAGGAAATCTCCTCTCAACAGCTCTACCTGATGTGACACATGGCTACACTCTCTCAATAATTATTAAGATTACTGATATGGGTAATAAATGTACTTATGTCTATGGTTCAGTTTGTAGGTTTTAAAACATCTTTCATACTTATTCCCCAAAGATACTCACAATAATCATTTAAAGAGTTAAAAACAGACTAGCAAACCAAGACAAAAGGGTCTGCCTTGAAACCTATTTTTCCCCACCATCCATCCATCCATTCTTTTCCACAAAAGAATGCTTCTGATTACTTACCCTCATAGAGATTCAAAACACTGACTGCTCTTCAGGACAATAGATGGAGGTATGTCATTTCCTGTACAATTCAAATAGCAATAGCTTATTTTTAAAGCAAGCACACTTCTGTTTTCTTTGGTTGTCTAGACTTCTTATGTATTTTGGTATCTCCAAACTCTGATACATGTAAATTTTAAATGGTAATATGACTTTTGTTTTCCCCCAAAGATGGAAATAAAGGCTTAAACAAATATAACCCAAGAGATACTTGAAATTTAGATAAAAACCAGCTTTTAAACCTTTCAGAGAGACTAACCCCATGGTTGCACTTATTCCACAGGCAATTAATTTGGCTAAAACAAATATTCTTTGATGACCATCAAGAATAAAGCAGAGCAATTTTAATATGATAGAATTATTATTGACTGGGGAATATCATGCAAAATTGGTATAACCAAGAAAAGATCAAAAAGGCTCTCTGATTATAAAACATCAAAGGTTTCAGGCAACTTCTTCCTGAGAGACAAGCTTAAAATATTGGAGAATCCATTTATACCGTTACATTAAGGAATTATTTTAATGAGGGTCCTCCTGAGATGATAGACTGGGGTAACATTTCAGAATTGCATTGCATTCATTCCATAAACTGCTTAATTAGAGAAATGGTTCCTTCACTAAGCATCTGTCACTGAAGCATGTACACACAATTTTTAAATGTGTGGTGTTGGGGAAAGCATAATTTGGAAGTAATTCCAGTTTGGGCATTTACTAGCCATTTGACCGCAGTTTATTCTCAATATCTCTGAACATTTAAAATATACTTTTTAAAAGAACAGCATAAACAGAGATCATACAAGTTTATAACTACATGATAAGTATATAAGTTCTATTTTCAATTAGTAAGAGATAAAAAGAAACCAAAGCATGGAATATGATGTAGATTATATGTTTCTGTTTCATTTTATAAGAAACAAATACACTATGTCAAGAAATTAGTGTTTTAGTTTGACTCCTCATTAGTAGATATTCAATATTATTTCTTAAAAATCCTAAAGGGGGGCGATGTTAACAGAAACAGCAAAGTAAGGAATGCCAAAAGTTTATCCCTCCATAAAACCAATAAACACTGGTGATATATGTTATAGTCAACATTTTTGAAATTCTGGAAATTAACCAGAAGCTTGTGCAACTAAGGGAATTCTTAAGAAAAAGCTGATGGACTCTTGGTAAAGAAAGAGCTTTGTGGTGTTTTAAACTACTCTGTTCCCATTATTCAACATCTGACTCAAATATAAACTTAATGACAAAAGCTCACTTTCCAAGTATTGTACAAATAGCAGTGTCAGAGGGAAGGGAACAGATCTCATTCACAAAGAACATGATTGTTCAGTTGACCTGTCTGGTGGATCCTCGAATAAAAGGGCTTGCCATTATCTTACCTAACTTAGAATTTTTGCATTGCTTAGGTGAATATCTGAGGAAGGATTTTTGTCAAATTACATAACAAATGTATTATTCGTGGCTGCCTCCTGGCAATCAATAACAGTTGGGACAAACAATAAATTAATTTAAAAACTTGGGAAGAAAGGCTGAAGGAGGTACTTTGAGGAACAAGGGTTTTGAAGAGCTCCAACATCTTATTGAAAACCTAGAAAGCCATATTCATGACCACGACTGTCTGCATACTCAGGAAGGACATGAGAAGGCCCTAAATTCTCACTTCTGGCTAATCTTAAGGCTCTACACAAGGAATAATGAAAGATAAGACAGTTGTAAACTCCTTTGCTTAGTGTTGAAGGCATTCCCAAAACACACACAGAGAGCCCATGAGAGATTTTGTTTTAGCTCCAGCCACCTAAGAAAATATTTGTCCAATCACCAGCTGGTCATAGCATAATAGCACAGAAAATTAAGTGGCCAAACATGACAAAGTCGTTTCATTATATGCAGAAAAAGTGTCAATATTGTAACATTTTTATGATAAAAACACTCAACAAACTAGGAAAAGAGAACTTCCCTAGTTTGATAAAGGGCCTCTATGAAAAACGTATAGCTAGCATCATACTTAATTGTGGAAAGACTGAAAGTTATCTCCCTAAGTTCAGGAATAAAACAAGGATGCCACTTTCCACAATTCAATTCAACATCGTACTGTAAGTTCTAGTCAAGGTAATTAGGCAAGAAAAAGAAAACACATCTAGATTGAAAAGGAAGAAGTATAACTACATTCACAGATAACATAATTTTATATAATAAAAAACTGAAATATTCACAAAATAATTATTAGAGGTGGGTAATAAGTTCAGCAAGATTCCAGAACATAAGATTAACACAAAAATCAGTTGAATTTCTACAAATTTAGTACTGAACAATCCTAAAATGCAATCAAGAAAATAATTTTATTTACTAAAACATCAAAAGGAATAAAATGCTTAAATGAATTTAACCAAGGAAGTACCAGATGTGTACACTGAAAACTTGAAAATATTGTTGAAAAAATTTAATGAAGTGCTAAATAAATGGAAAGATATTCCATGTCTATAAATTGAAAGACTTAACATTGTTAAGATGTCAATAATCCCCAAATTGATCCACAGGTTCAATGTAACCTCTATTAATTTTCCAACTTCCTTTTTCTTTTGCAAATTTGGATAAGCTAGTCCTAAAATTCATATGGATTTGCAAGGGACACAGAGTAGCCAAAATAATCTTGAAAAAGAACAAACTTGGAGGAGTCACATTTTCTAATTTCAACACTTACTACAAGCTACTCTTATAAATCAACAAAAAAAGACCACCTGATTTAAAACTGAGAAGCAGTCTTGAATAAACATTTCTCTGAAGAATATGGATGGCCATTCACAAAGTGTTGAGAGTGACGCAGATAAAATGGAACCCTCATGCATTGCTGGTAGAAATGCAAAATGGTGCAGCTGCTGTGGAAAAAAAAAATGGCAGTTCTTTAAAAAGCTAAATACTCAAGCCTGTAGCCCAGCACTTTGGGAGGCCAAGGAAGGTGGTTCATGAGGTCAGGAGTTCGAGACCAGCCGAGTCAACATTGTGAAACCCCGTCTCTACTAAATGCAAAAAATTAGCCGGGCGTGGTGGCAGGCACCTGTAATCCCAGCTAAGGTTAACGTATTATCCAGCAATTCTAGGTAAGTAACTGAGAGAAATGAAAATACACATCTAAGAAAAACCTGTATGTGAGTAAATATAGCAGCATTATTCATAATAACCAAAACATGAAAACAACCCAAATGTCTATCAGCCAATGAATGAATAAACAAGATGCGGTTTATCCATACAGTGAAACACTATCAGCTGTAGAAAGGATTGAAGATCTGGTACACGCTACAACCCGAGTGAAACTTGAGGATATTATGCTAAGTGAAAGAAGCCAAACATATAATATTACACATATTATTTATTTAAAATATTCAGAATAAACAAATCCATTGAAACAGAAAGTAGATTAGTGCTTGCCATGAGCTTAGCAGGAAGGAAGAATGGGAGTGACTGCTAATAAATATATGGCTTCTTTTTGGGATAATGAAAATATACTAAAATTAGTGGCGATAATTATACAAACTTGTTAATATACTAAAAACACTGAGTTGTATGCTTTAAATTTTTAAAATTTTGAACTTTATGTTATATGATTGTTATCTCAGTTTTAACAACCCTAATATTCATTGTTTGAAAACATTAAACCTAAATGAAATGTAAATAATTAAGTTTAATATTAATGAGAGAGAAGTACCTTAGTTCTGAAACATTTTTTATAATATGTTTAGAAAGATAGCATTTTGGATTAGAGGTTTTACAAAATACTACTTTTATATACATTTTGAAGATGTTTTTACAGAAACTTATTATATAAGCCAATTATTATATTGTATATTTATTTTTGCCCTATCTTATTCTAAGGAGGATTTTTAAAAATTAGGAGTAGTGGGAATTACTATTCCACTAGATTATTAGATTCAGCTATTCATCAACAATTTGTTGTTAAATAAAAGTTTAAATTATAGCTCATGCTTACTGTTATAGAAACTAGTCTAAGAATTTTAGCTTCATTATAACTGATGCAGTAATAGTATATTTGGCAACATCATGTTAGATGGCTTCAGTATTTCTGTTACAAAACTATTACATCAAGAAGTCACAAACTTTCTAGAAGAGGACACTATATAATGGGAATTAATCTGAAGCAATAAGTATTTATTCATTCTAACCTTTCCTTTAAGAAATCTATGGCATGTTTAGACCAAACTGTCAATGCCCTCCTTATGACAATTATGTTTTTTACCCTTCTCTGAGTAGAAAACTGTTTATTTCCTTATCTTACTTAATTAAGGGTAATCATTCATGTAAGTTGAAATTTCCTGCTAAGAATAATGCCCAAGAACATCTCTTCAAAATGCCATTTACCCAAGGTCATTACAGTTCATTTTATAGGCACTGGACATCTTGATTCTTAGACATCTCCCTAGAATATGATCTCTATCTTTCAAAAACAACATAAGAGCAATTTAATACAACTCTTGCCGGATTCCTCTTTCTTAATAGTGAAGCTTATCCAAAGTCCCTCTTGACCTGTTTCAAATACTTTATACACCCAAACAAAAGCTAAAACAGTTGTTACTGTACATGCACTTATCATTTGTAAAAGATATTGTGGCTTCTCTTTGATTAGAATTTTTGCTCATTGCCTGGTTCCCCAAACACATCAGGTGACTGTTGCTAGGCAACCAAGCAATACCATACAGAGAATTCTCCCATCCATCTCAACAGATGCCATCTCATTTAGATACAAAGGGGTTCAAAGTTTCAAAATTTGTTTTTGTCACTCAATAAGTCAATATTATTTGGTGGTGCATTTCTGATGAGTAAATCATAGACAGACCACATTGAAAATACTCATATTGAGAAATTTTATCATCAACATTCCACAATTGTATGGTACACACTAATAAAAATTTTTGAAAACATGTAATAAAATGTGTTAAATTTCAAATACTGCTTTATTCAATCCTGACACAAAAGTTAATACCATGTAAGTTGTTGTTTTGCTTGTTTAGAAAGGTTTTATTTTAGAATCAATTAATAAATTGAGAAAAACAATAAACAGTTTGTTTTGTAAGACTTAATACAGTGAAACAAAAGCATTTTTCAAATATTGTTATCAGCTTTGGAGACCTCAAGATGCCTATATCACACTTTAATAAAAATGTAATGTTTCCCAACTGCTTCTAAATTTATCAGATTCAGCTGTTACCTTCGATTTAATTCTATTCTTTATGTAATCTAGGGCTAGCTTCTGTGCACAGTTAATTAACGGTTCTAAAGAGTTTTGTTTTTTTTTTGGTATATCAGGTCTCATTATAGACATCAACTGATCTTCAGATCAAAGAAAATTCCATACAAAGTTTCTTTGTATGGTAACCCTTTAGTAA
The DNA here is from genome assembly GCF_000001405.40 of Homo sapiens. Lineage (NCBI taxonomy): Eukaryota > Metazoa > Chordata > Mammalia > Primates > Hominidae > Homo > Homo sapiens. Next base: position 56,583,397 of record NC_000002.12, on the reverse strand, counting down.
GTTATTTATAGCAATCCATTACAAAAATTGTTAAGGTATCTTAATGTATGGCACAATCTTCTACCACATCAAATAAGCAACCTTAAAATATTGTAATAAATGATGGCAACTGACTGAAAGATAGCAACCTCAAATATTTAATTTGTCCTCTTCTGACTTTGAGATTTTGTTCCAAATCTGTAAGGAATGTGTGCTTTAAAGCAGTTGGTTGTACCTAACATAGCTTTCGACCCCCCTAGAAGTTACTCATGTAGGTGAGTGAGGCTAGAGTTTTGTCCAAAAGAAGGGATTGTCAGCAGTGCCCCACTATGAAAAGCTAACTATTAATCTAAAAATAAATAAATAAACCAGCTCTGGAAAACTCACTCAGGAGTCAAACAAGAGAAAAGCTGCTTATGAAAAGGAAAATAGAAATGACTTTCTGATGGAACAAAGATTAAGCTCATAATTAAATATTTATTATAAAAATGACTAAAATGACTAACACTTGTGTAATAAGGGTAATTTTTAATGCTCTTTGACATAATTCTTTTTCACTTAATCATCAAAAGAGGCATGCTATACAGGTATGTTTCTCTATTTTATGAAATAATAAATTAATGTTCAGAGAACTAAAGACAACAGGATTAAAAAGGACCATGGTCATGTGACTCACGATTTAGTGGTTTGGCATCTACACTTGTATCCTAACAGGTGAAGACTTCTGCTTTAGAAATTCCTATGACTGAGTTCTTTCTTTTTTATTTAAAAACTCAGAAACAGTGTGTCATTTTTTGAATGTTTAATATGACCTGGGTGCTAGAGAAATTAAGTTGCATATTACCACAGATTTGGGAGTCAATCAGGCAATCATCACCATATCAAAAATGTACTAAGATATTTTGGAAAGTAACAAATTGGTCACATCACAGCTTCTTATTTCTCTGTAAATAGATTTGCAAAGAGAAAATCAAGCCAGAAATATTCAAAATTAACTCTGTCAGTCAAGCAGTTTCATAAAATCATAAAACTGAATGTGCACTTTCTGCTTTTGGAATGTGTGCCTCCCCTATTTAAATATTGCTGTAAACAAGTCACTTTATGAGGCTGAGACTTAATTCTCTTCTGCCTTATTCCTCTCTCTATATATATATTACAGTCATTATGATCTTTATATAAAACCATCCAAATTCAGTTTCCTCTGGAAAGATCTACCTTGAATCATAAATATTTACAGAACATAAATATTCATGAAATTAATATGTATGGATTTAAAGGTTACCTATATTTTAAAATTGCTAATTCTTCGGGAAAGTTAGGGTCAAAATTATCCCCACTGAGGTTATTCTTTCAGTAAATAATCCCCAAAAGGACTCCCAAACAAAATTTTCTTTTTTATTTTTCTATACAAATCCTGATGTAAGCTCCAACTAAAGTAGTGATAATCTACATTGAAATGGGGAGGGAAAATATGTAACTGATTTTCTAAAAAACATCTTCTTACAATCAAGGAAAATCATCATTACATGACTTCACTTTTATATAGTCATGTGGTCCCATCATAAATCTCCAGAGTTCTATTCACTCAGACTAAATGCAGCTACTTCTGAATTTTGCAAACTTCTAAGGTACTATGAAAAAAAGATTTAAAGTAAGGGGAAATTGAATAAGTATTATAAGAACAGATATGAAGAGCTGTCCTTTAATATGTTATGGCCAGAAATTTATTATACCACATGGTTATTAGATTGGAACACATTTGAAAGATATTTAGAATATTTTTAGTCCAAACCACTTTGCAAAAATTTAACAAAAGCTTTGTTTTGTTGCATAAGTAGGTGGCTAATTTGTTTACATATGCCAAAATAGCATCAGTTTGTGGATATATTGCAAAAGAGTGAAAATTTATCGAGTACCTTTAAAAAAATGAGTGCAGGAAAAATAAATTGACTAAATTTGCATGAATCTCTATTTTGCTATCAAAATAAAATTACAGATGGTGGTGTTCTTGTTTTGCTTTTACAGAGGATAGTGCAGTCTTAGAATACTATAGGGTGGCAAGATAAACCCAATGAGTTTGTTTCTACCATTTTTTTACAATACAAAATATTTTACGTATTTATGGGGTACATGTATTTGTTACATGCATACAATGTGTGCCAAGGTATTTGTACTATCCATCAACTTGAGAATTCATCATTTCTATGTGTTGAGAGCATATCGAGTCCTCTCTTCTATCTACTTTGAAATATACAATACATTGTTGCTAAAATAATGACCCTACTGAGCTATTGAAAACTGGGGCTATTTCTACTACCTATCTCTGTGTTTGTACCCACTAGCCAACGCCTCTTTGTCCTCCCCTCTCACCAGCACACACTTCTCAGCCTCTGGGAGTTTATCAATCTATTCTCTATCTCCATGAGATCAACTTTTTAAGCTCCCACATATGAGTGAGAACATGTAGTATCTGTATTTCTGTTCCTGGGTTATTATTGCTTTTATTATACTTAAAATAATAAAATCCAGTTCCATACATGTTGCTGCAAATAATATTATTTCATTCTTTATTATGGCTAAATAATATTCCAGTGTGTATATATACATCACATTTTCTTGATTCGATGGTCTGCCAACCGATACTTAAGTTGATTCTCTTTCTTTGCTATTGTGAATATGCTGCAAAAAAACACACAAATGAAGGTATCTCTTTGATATAACAATTTCTTTTCCTTTTGATAAATACCTAGTAGTGAAATTTCTGGGTCATACGATAGTTCATTTTTAGTTCTTTGAGAAATCCACACAGATTTTTTTGTAGTGGTTGTACTAATTTACATTCCCACCAACAATGTTTAAGAGTTCCCTTTTCCCTACATCCATAACAGCATCTGTCATTTTTTGCCTTTTTAATAACATACCTTCTAACTTGAGTAAGATGGTATCTTGTTGTGGTTTTGAATTCCATTCCCTTGATGACTAGTGATGTTGAGCATTTTTTCATGTGCCTTTTGCATATTTGGATGTCTTTTGAGAAATGTCTATCCATGCCCTCTGCTCACTTTTTAATGGAATTATTTGGTTTTTCACATTGTTTGTGTTTCTTATATATTCTGGATATTAGTCCCTTTTTGGATGAATAGTTTGCAAATATTTTCCCCCATGCAACAAGTTGTTTCTTCACCCTGTTGATTGTTTTCTTTGCTGGCCAGAAGTTGTTTAGATTAATGTAGTCCCATCTGTCTACTTTTGTTAGGTTTGTCTGTGCTTTTTAGCTCTTAGCCATGATATCTTTGCTTACACTAATGTCTTGAAGTGTTAACTCTATCTCTAGTTTTTTTTCTCCTACTAGTTTTATAGTGTTTGGTGTTACATTTAAGTCTCTAATCCATTTTTAGTTGATTTCTGCATACTGGGAGATATATGAGTCCTGTTTCATCTTCTGCATATGGATATTCCATTTTCCCAGCACTACTTATTGAAGACGGTGACCTTTGCCCAGTGTTTGTTCTTGGCACCTTTCTCAAAAGTCAGTGGGGTAAAAACACTGATTTACTTCTGGACTCTATGTTCCATTAATCTATGTGTCTGTCTTTATACCAATACCATGTTGTTTGGGTTACTATAGCCTTGTAATATATTTTGAAGTGAGATGCCTCTAGCTTTGTTCTTTATGTTCAGGATTGCTTTGGCTATTTGGGCTTTTTTTTTTTTTGCTTCTAAATGAACTTTAGGTTTTGGGGTTTTTCTGCTAATCTTCTAAAAAATAATGTGGGTATTTTAATAGAGATCGCATTTTTATTGCTTTGGGTAGTGTGGTCATTTAAATGATATTAATTCTTCTGATCCAAGAGTACAGGACATGGTTTCATTTATTTGTGTCCTCTTCGATGTCTTTCATCAGTTTTCCTTATAGACATCTTTCATCTCCTTGGTTAAATTTATTCCTAGAGTTTTTTCGTTTTGTTTGTTTGTTTCTGTAGTTACTAGAATGGGATCGCCTTCTCAATTTCTTTCTCAGTTCATTATCCTGAATAGAAATGCTACTGATTTTTGTACATTGATTTTGTATCCTGCAACATTATTGAAGTTATTTATCAAATCTAGGAGGTTTTGGTGAGGTCTTCAATGTTTTCTAGATATAATATGATATCATCAGCAAAGAGGGACAAATTGACTTCCTTTTTTTCCATTTGGATGCCTTTTATTTTTTTCTCTTGCCTAATTTCTCTGGGTAGAACTTTCAATACTGTGTTGAACAGGAATGGTGAAAGCAGGCATCCTTGTCCTGTTCCAGACCTTAGAAGGTAGGCTTTCAGCTTTTCATCATTCAATATGATGTTAGCTGTGGGATTGTCAAATATTGCATTAATTATGTTGAGTTATGTTTCTTCTATTCCTAGTTTGTTGAGAGTTTTTTAAATCAGGAATCAATGTTGAATTTTATCAAATGATTTTTCTGTATCTATTGAGATGATGGTATGGTTTTTGTCCTTCTTTCTTTTGACATGATATACCACATTTGTTGATTTGCATATGTTGAACCATCTTTGCATCTCTGGCACAAATCCCACTTGGTCATGGTATATTATTTTTTCAATATGGTACTGGATTTTGTTTGCTAGTATTTTGTTGAAGATTTCTGTGTCTAGGTTAGGGATATTGGCCTGTAGTTTTCTTTATTTGTTGTATCCTTATGTAGCTTTGATATCAGCATAATGCTGACCTAATATAATAATTTAAAGAGATTTCCCTCCCCTATAATTTTTTGGAATAGTTTATGGAGGACTGGTATTAGTTTTTGTTTAATTGTGGAATTTAACTGTGAATCCATCCAGTCCTGGGCTTTTCTTTATTGAGAGACTTTATTTACTGATTCAATCTCACTAGTCATAATTGGTCTGTTTAGGTTTTCTATTTCTTCCTGAGTCAATCTTATATGTTTCCAGAAATTTATCCATTTCCTATAGGTTTTTCATTTTTGTCAGAATATGGTTGTGCATAATAGTCTCCGATGATCTTGTATCATCAGAGTTTAATATCTGTGGTATCATTTTTAATGATGTCTCTTTTTTATTTTCTAATTATTTGAGTCATCTCTCATCTTTTCTTCACTATTTTAGTTAGTGATTCATCAATCATTAACTAAACTTTAAAAGAACCAACTTTTAGATTTGTTGACTTTCTATATATTTATAGTCTCTATCTAATTTAGTTCCATCAGGTCTTTATTATTTCTTTCTTTCTGCTAATTTGGAGTTTGATTTGTTCTTACCTTTTTAGTTCCTTAAGGTGCATCATTAGATTGGTTATTTGAAATCTTTCTAATTTTTTGATGTAAGCATTTATTACTACAAACTTTTCTCTTGTCATTGCTTTTGCTGTATCTTACAGGTTTGACTATGTTTTATTTCCATTTTCATTTTAGAAATTTTTTGAGTTTCATCTTAATCTCTTTATTGATGCAATAATTGTTCAGGAGAATGTTGTCTAATTTCCACATATTTGGATAGTTTAAAGATTCCTCTTGGTGCTGATTTCTAGTTTTGTTTCATTGTAGTCTGAGAAGATACTTGATATGATTTCAATTTCTTACACTTTACTGAGATTTATTTTTTTGGCCTAGCATATGTTCTATCTTGGAAAATATTCCATGTGCTATTGAAAAGAATGTATATTCTTCAGTTGTTAGGTAGAATGTTCTGTTAATGTCTATTAGGTACATTTGGTCTAGCATCTAGTGTAAATCTAATTTATCTTTGTTGATTTTTTTGTCTAGATGATCTATCTAATGCTGAGAGTTAGGGATTGAAGCCTGCCACTATTATTCTAATGCAATCTCTCTATTTACCTACTTATTTATTTATAGACAGAGTTTTGCTCTGTTACCCAGGTGGCAGTATAGTGGCCCAACCTCTGCTCACTGCAACCTCTGCCTCCTGGGTTCAAGCAATTCTTCTGGCTCAGCCTCCCGAGTAACTGGTACTACAGGTGGCCACTACAATGCCCAGCTAATTTTTGTATTTTTAGTAGCGACAGGTTTTCACCAGGCTGGTCTCTGACTCCTGACCTCAAGTGATCCGCCCACCTCAGCCTCCTAAAGTGCTGCGATTACAGGTGTGAGTCACTGCACGTGGCAGAAATCTCTCTCTTTAGATGTAGTGTTACTTGTTTTATCAATCTGGATGCTCCAGTGTTGAGTACATATAATTTAGAATTGTTATATTCTTTTGCTGGATTGATCCCTTTATCATTACATAATTACTCCAAGCCACAAAGGAAGTCACAGATACCACTGACATCATTTACAGCAGAAGAAATATCATACACAGGCTACACTACTGCATGCACCCCAAATCAAAGCCAAAATACCTGACCCAACCAACAACACATATACATCATCAGGAAAGGGTTTTCCCACACACAAGCAAATTCAAAAAATTTGAAGAAGTGACTGCCGCACAGACTGTACAGATATCAAATTAAGGGCATAGGGAACATAAAAAAGCAAGAAAACATGACACCCCTAAAGGAACACAATAATTCTCCAGCAACAGTTCCCAGTCGAAAAGAAATTCATGAAATCCAGGATAATGAATTCAAAATACTGGTTTTAAAAAAGCTCAGGGAGATACAAGAGAATTCTGAAAAATAATACAGAGAAATCAGAAAAATAATTAAAAATATTAATGAGAAATTTATCAGAGATATAGATATTATTTAAAGGAAACAAATTCTGGAACTGAAGAATTCATTGAATAAAATACAAAATACATTTAAAAGCTTTGAAAACACACAAGATCTAGCAAAAAAAAAAGAAAAGAGTTTTGTAACTTGAATACAGATTATTTGAAATAACTCAGGAACAAATAAAGAATAAGGAATAAAAAAGAATAAGCAAAGCCTTTATGACATTTGACACACCATAAAGAGACTGAATAATCCTGTTATTGGTGTTCCCAAGGGAGAAGAGAGACTAAAAGGGTTAGAAAACCCCATTTAATGAAACAATAGATGAAAAGTTTCCAAGTCTAGCAACAAATATAGACATTCAGCCACAGGATCCCAAGGCCAGCAGTGGAACAGCTGCACTATGGACCTGCCACCAGGGAGGACTGGACCATTCTCACTGGAAGCAGCGTAATCAGGCAGCTGTAGAAGGAATGGTTTGCTCATGCTTCAGTCCCACGCCAGCTCACATCAGTGGCAGTGGTATTTGTCCTCGGAGCACATAGAAGTGCCTGGCCTCCCCTCTCCTTTGGTTTGGCAGTGGCAGCAGTGGCAGCAGTGGTATCAGCTCTAGGGCAGGTCATAGTCCTTTGGGGGCTGGGCTCTCAAACTGGCACACATTGCCATTCTTGTGTTAATTAATCATGTACTGCCCACAATATTTCTTGGCTGTTATATTGAATTATGATTTGGTTAACATGCTTTTGAACGGTTCTCACTTTCTATTTCTGATGCTTAGGGAAGCAATAGGCTGTGGCGGTCAAAAGAACAAGTTCTAGTGTCAGACTGTCTGGATAGATATTCCAGCTTTATTACTTAATAACTGTTTGACTTGGAATATTTGTTAACATTTTCAGGCACTAGTTTTCCCTTTGAACAAAGAGGGGTGATCTACATCTACTACATAATGTTTTTCATTATGATTAAATTTAATAATCTCTTTAAATGTCTTCACTCAGTGTTTGACACATCAACATTTAGTATGATTGTTGGTTGTAGTCTCAAAATAAAGAGTAGTAATTATAGTTTTGTCTTAACACCAAACTATAAGCATATCAGAAGCAGAGAATCTTTCTGTTTCATCCCTCTCAAGTATATTGCACAGAGTAGGTAGTCAAAACTGTTGTTTGATTTTTTGAGTCCAATGATATTCTTATTGTAACTCTTCAGAAGCAAGGATTACAAATCCAGTCTATAAAATATGAAAGCAAAAAGATATCTGCTTAAATAATGTAATTTGGTTACTACCTGGTAGCAGTCCATTCAAAATTCAATTTTAGGTCTTGATATATCCAAATTAAGGGGTCAAATAACCTCTGTGAGCAAGGGGTAATTCTTGGGTATTTTAATTCATCTCTTTTTATCCAAGATTTCTTGCTAAAGAATTTCATTACTGACCATGTTTTCATCACATCTTCAAATAAATTTATAGTAGATAAAATCTCAACCTTCTCAAGTATAGAATTACATTTTATGTACAGAGGTATTTCTCTATAGCTAAAGATTGATAGCCAGTTCATATTTCTATCATTACTTTAAAGGAGAATAAGTCATGTGTATATAAACAGTTAAACTTATAAATACCTATGAACTATGTGTACTACAATGCTAGCAAATTTAGGAAAAGAATTTACTGATAAGTTTAATAATTTGAAAATGAAGAAATGACATAATACTTGGTATATTTTCTACATCTGGATAATTTGAATAAATTTTAAAAGTTGATCTTTGTTGTATTAGGCCACTTTTATGTTGCTATAGAGAAATACCTCAGACTGGGTAATTTATAAAGAAAATTTATAAAGAAAATTAAATTGGCTTACAGTTCCATAGGCTATACAAGCATGGCACCAGCCTCTGCTCAGCTTCTGGGGAGGCCTCAGGGAGCTTTTACTTATGAAGACAAACTGGGAGCAGGGTCATCACATGGTGAAAGCAGAAGCATGAGAAAGGGAGGTGCCACACACTTTTCAACAATCAGATCTCATGTGAACTCACTCATCACCAAGGGGGTGGCGCTAAGTCATTCATGAGAGATATGCCTACATGATCCATACACATCCCACCAGGCCCCACCTCCACCACTGGGGATTACATTTCAACATGACATTTGCACGGACAAATATCCAAATTATATCACTTGTCTTTAGGTAAATTCAATGCAGTATTGAATTATAAGTCTGGAAAGATTCATGGAAGATTTGTGAACCTAACTCAGTCGATTCTACTTATTCAATATATCATATTTATTCAATCAGTAATTTTTACATTGAACCTTACATGTGTCCAGTGTTGAACCACAGGTTAAAGAAACAGACTAATAAGAAGCCAGCCATGTCTAAATTCAAGGGACTCACAACCTAGTGAAGAAAATAGACACATGAGTATTTTAAAATGCAGTTAAGTACCAAATAGAGTGCCACATAAGATGGAATATATGGAATGTTGTCACTAGAGAAACAGGATGTCAGTATCAGCGAAGGCTTCACACATGAGGTGGCATTTCAGTTGTGTTCACCCCAACAAACTGGAGATACTGTCCTATTCAAATGTGTATACACATACACACACAAGCAAAAAGATATAAACGATAGGAAAAATTGCAAATAGTGTGGCATTGATTAGTGCATTTTTTGAAGTAATCAGATAAGGATGGATACTGGAAGAGAGGATACAATGAAAGGCTTCACAATCTTCCTACTGAGAAGGAATAAAGTATTTTAAATATTAGATCATATTTGTATCTTGGAAATACATTTATGAAGTCTTGGTTGGAGATGCTTTAGAGAAAAAGAATTCCATTGGGAAACTATTACACTAGCTCATGTAAGGTATGAAGAGATAAGAGCAATAGGAATAGAAAGGATGCGAAAAATATTATCGATATCCGGGAAGTAGACTTCATAGTAGTTAAGGACTGGGGGAAGCTAGAGAAAGATACACAAATATAAGACAACTCCAGTTTTATAACTTGAGTAACTTGGGGGCTAGTGATCATATTGATCATATTTATCAATAGTGAATAACAATACAAAACAGATGGGGTGGGGGGAAGCCAAAAGGTGAAGTGGAACAAATACAGCAATGTAATAATAACAAGAAAAAGATAAGAAAAACAGTTTTATTAATACAAACAACTAGCATTTATTAGAAGTTTATGACATGCCAATTATTGCACTAAATTCTTTGCATATTATACCTCATTTAATCATGAGTGAGCTATAATAAGAGTGTAAACCAGAGAGTAAGTGATTCTTCTGGGTAGACCTTACTAAAAAATGTTGCATATGGGCAGCAGTTTGGGGGTTCTGAGGATTGAGGTTGAGTGGGGCATTTCACTCTAAGCAGTGGGAAGCAAAAGGAGTCAGAGATGATTTAGCCAGAGTCCTAAAACATTACCAAGAGTCAAAATAAGGAAAGTAAGATAAGCTCAAGTGAATATCACAGGAGCATATCTGAAAATACAAGCTAAAGCCAATAAAGTGTGGAGCAGAGGATTTAACAACAGTTCTTTGTTGACCCTTAGCCTTGGGATGTGAAGATGTTAGAAGCATAGCTAGAGGAGACCACAGGTAAGTAGAGGAGACCCTTACACAAAGTGGGGTTTGTGTAAGGGTCATTTTTTAGTATACAAAAAACTAAACTATTGATCATCCTCATCAATCCTACCCTCCCCTACATCTTCACAATTTTAGTTAATGGTTACTGAGTTCTACCAGTTCCTCAGGCCCAAAACTATTTCTATCAGAAATTTAAATTTTATATCTAATTTTTAACAATAAAAGTTCATAATCCTTTACTTCCCCCTGGATTATAAGGTTTTTCTTTCCCCTTCTCCCAAATGAAGTTGTTTATACAAATATCCTAAGTTTGATGGTGTTTGTTGCCCCACTGCCACCTCCAGCCCCAGAAGTTTAATATGATATAAAGGAGAAAAATCTTAGGAGGTTTTTGTCCCTTTCTCAAGGTAATCGCTCTTCACAACCCTCCAAGCCTACACCAAGAGGGACACTTTCTTAAGATTCCCACCAATCTTTTTGTGAGTATGCAGTGAGGTCCATGAAGGACAGCCTACATAAGTGGGTGCAAATTCCCTAGTAATTTTGGAACTCAGGGGTTCTATATTCTCTTCTGGTCCACACTTAGTCCTTTCCAATTCCTTAATTTTAGCTAAATTCCTCTTATAGCACCTGGTGAATCTTCCACATATAAGCAAATACTTGTGTCCTATATCTCTTTGCAGACACCCATATTTGCTTAGATTTCAGAGAAATCAGTTGCTCTGCAATATCAGCTCTCTGATGGATTTGAGAAAAGGCGTAAATTTGTAGGTCATCTGACTTTTTTGCTGTTGTGAACATGAGAGCAATGCTTTTTCCAGCTTTCCACATTCCAGTGTACAACAGAAGTCCCAGTAAGCCTATGCCATTCTTCAGTCCACAATTTTACACCATATACGCTATCACCCAATCTTATCGACTCTATTTTAAAACTATCCATATTATGACCACTTCTTACCAAATCTACCATCACCACTCTTGCCCAAGCCAACCTCAACTCTCCCTTGGATTTTGTGATGGTCTTCTAGTTAATCTTCCTGCTTCTGCCCTCAACCCTCCATGGCCTTTGGAAAACCCAGGGAAGCTACCACACAGAAGCTAAAAGATGTTGATAAAAACCAAATCAGATCACAACTTTCCCTCCTCATACCCCTCCAATGGCTCCCTTTCTCACTTAGAATCAAAACTAAAATCCATATAATTGGCTACAAAGCCCTGCATGATCTGTGCCACCTCCTTCTATTATTCTTTCACCAATTGTTCAAGACTCTTTGGCTGCCACATTCTTCACACATGGCAGGCATGTGCCTCTCTTAAGATCTTTATACTGTTACCTCTTATAAAATTCTCTTTCCCCAGATCTGTGTGCTTTGTATTCTTACCTCCATGGTACAACTATCTTTCTGCAAAACCATCTTCTCAGTGAAGCCTTTTCAGACCACCATATTATGAACCCCTCAGTAGTACCTATCACCATCTGCTATATTTCTATTTACTTATCTTGTCCTCCACCTGCCAGAATTTAACTGTTTATTCATTCAATATTCTATCTTTAGTGCCTAGAAATGAGCCCATCCCTGTGTAGATTAGTATATATTTGTTGAGTGAGTGAATATTTATAAACTGAAAAAAAAGCCAGTGAAAAGAGATGGATTTATAGCAAAGAAGAAAGTGAATGATTACAGATGGAACAAGAAAATTGAGGTGGAAGGAGAGAATGGGATACAGAGCACCAGAAAATGAGTCAGACTTGATGCTTCTCCCTTTGTAACTGGAATATACAGAAGTAGGTAAATGTATGGGGAGTGGGGCAAATAGCTGAGAGAATTTGTGTTGGACCACTCCTATTTTCTTGCTGACGTCGTGCTATTTGCTGAGATTTGGGCAGGGTATGTGACTGGTAACGATCAGGGGTTAAAAGGGACAATACCCAAAAGACCAAGATCATCTTTGGTTTTCCCAAGTCTACTTAAATTCTGCTCAATGAGAGCTAAGCAAAAGTTTAAGGAATTTGGTTCCTAGGTACTATCTATGGAGCATTAAAAGTAAAACTCTGGAATAATTGGCAGTTTGATTTTTATGCTCTCTATAACCTGAAAAATAAAAAGCAATTTGTTTTTGTGTTGCGTATCTTGAGACATTAAGTAAGGTTATTTTGAAGCTTTTTAAGCTTAAGTACTGTTTGAAACACCCAATTTACTTGCATTTTTGTATGAGAGGTTTTTCTAGTTAAGTTTATGAAATATTTGCTTTACAATACCTACCAACCATTTTCAAATAGAAAATACAAATTACATGACAAATGGGAGGAGGGAGAATGACATTAATTTAACTGTCTGCATGTCCGAATTCTCCACTTTCTATGAAAAATTGGAGTTGGCCAAGGCTGTAACTGACATATCAGAATATCTCAAAATTCAGTAATTCTCTTTTTTTCTACTTTCAAATCATTTTAGAGTTGTCATGTTGGTGTAGCTGCAGGATTTCTGGTTTTCTGTGCCTTCACTGCAAGTCTTTTGGCAGGTGGATGCAGAGATAATTCCACTCTTGGGTGCCATATTATTAATACTCCCTGGCATCTATGAATAACTTCATCTTTCAGCCATGTCTGATTCTGCCATAGATAAGCAGAACTTACCTTTGTGTAGAATAAAGCTGTATGTGATTTAATGAGAAAAATATTAATAAATCTCTGTTACGTTGATGTCTTTTCAAGAGGATATCAAGACATATGATAACACTGGTATTTTGCTTATTAAATGCACATAAAATGGATGTTTGCTTTTGAAGTTAAACAATAATGCTGCAAAATGACCTGTAAATCACATCCCTTCTTACTATGCTTGCTAACCAGAAAATCATTAACATGGATTTTCCGACAGTTAAAATAGGCAGATACATGTTTACCAGCCTTAAATCAACCAGGTATATAGGATAATGACAGCATACAGGCTCGAAAGAGGAAGGAATACATTAATCAATAAGAAACAATGAAGATATTTTGGTGACAGCAAAGAAACAGACCCAGGAATACAGTATATTCTATCAGAATAGAATTTAGTGTCCGATAATAGACAAAGTAAGCAACACTTTGGCATTATCAGCCACTAGCTGTGTGACTTAACGAGTTACTTAACCAGCCTGAGACTCTGTTTTCTTATTTGTTAAATGAAGGTAATAAGACCTACTTAACACAAGGTATGTGGATTAAATGAGATAAATGTATATAATAATCGTTCAATACTATACCTCATATACAGTATGTGATCATTAAAGAACTATTAGTTGTCTTTTTGCTTTCTAAATCCTCAAAAACTTTGTTCAGGCACCAATCCTTTTCTGAACAGACATTATGTACCATGCATAGAATCAAGCATTTTTCACGCATTACCTAGGTGACAGTGTTCTAGATAAAACTTAAAACAATGTGGGATATATTATTAACATTTTATAGATGAAGACACATGTTTAGAAAATTTCAGTAACTCATACAAGGTCCTACAGCTAAAAAACAACAAAGCTAGGATTTCTGACCTCAAAATCAAATAGCTAAGTCTCAATGTAATCTCAGGAATTGATAAAGCATATATTTTTTGGACTTGATCATTTTATATATCATCTCCCTAATCCTTAAAATATGAAAAAGAAAGAAACCTCCAGACCTTACTCCTCCATGTTCAACTTTACTTGCTCCCATTATGTAAAATTAACCAGGCAATATTGTCTGAACAAGCTTGTCCAACCCGCAGCCTTCAGGCCACATGCAGCCCAGGACGGCTTTCAATGAGGCCCAACACAAATTCATAAACTTTCTTAAAATATTATGAGATTTTTTTTTCTCAGAAGCTATTGTTGTTAGTGTATTTTATGTGTGACCCAAGACAATTCTTCTTCTTCCAATGTGGCCCAGGGAAGCCAAAAGATTGGACATACTCCTGGAAGGTAAGCCAAAACTGAATGTCCCAAGACACATTGACCAATGGGGGCACCTCTGAAACCATGCAGTCACAACTTCCATCACAGCTACCATCACCATTTTGCTGACTGTGTGACCAAAATTTCTCCTAGGCCAGGAGAAAAAAGAAAAAAAAAGTTTCTTCTATTAAAACATCTAACAAAAATGAGATATAATATACAAATGCTTGTATCTCTAATCCTTAAGGTTTCTGTTTTTCTTCACCAAGGGTAAAGAATATCTAGCTAATTGAGCAAGGAAAAATCACAGAACAAAGAACCCTAACAAAATATTCAACCTGACTTTATCCAAAAATGTTTAACAAAAATACGGATTGGAATATTGTGGCTATTCCAGAAAGATCCTCAGTTACTTGTTGCTAACGATGCTAATGAAAATAGCTACTGTTTATTGAGGAACTATTACAAGCCAGACACAAAAAAAGCAACTTGCCTAAGTAGATACAACTAATAAGAAGGAGAACTGAGAATTAAAACTAATGCTGTATAACTCCAAAACTTATACTCTAACCAGGAGGCAATGTTGCCTCTGCTCTTTAGTCACATAATAAACTAATAGGAAACCCTCCTGTATCCCTGACACTATCACAACTAACATCTGCAAAAATGAATGATTTTATTTGCTTGTTTTGGCTTACAAATAATTGACATATACTGTCTCATTTTATCTGAAGGTGCCCCATTTCTTCTTTTCAAGATAAGCAAGCATCAGGATGTTTTACTCTGTATTCTACTTCCACCAAACTGAAAGCACAGTGCCATGAATTTCTTCACTCCCAGAAATTAAGCATAAATACAAAATATTCCGCAATTTTTTACCATATCACTTCCCACATAACCATATTATATCTGTAATAAAGCATCACCAATATTCACCAATTATCCACCCCAGATATTAAAAATTAAGCAAATGCATTCTAACCCAGGAAGGAAATTTAAAGAACAAAGAGCAACTATCTGACCTGGCATTTGACCAGAATCTTCAGGTTAAATAAATTCAGTTAAGAATTTTACCCTTGCAAAATGACCCTGATGTTATAATCATCTTGGTCTATCTTTAAGAGTTTCTGTGAAAACATACTTGAAATATTTTAAAAGAAATTGAGGTCCCTAATGCTAGGCAAATACGTTAAAAACAACCAAAACTAACTGCCATTGACATTTGTCAATCAAGGCCTTGTCATCCAGAATCTTTAATGAGGTAGGAAATATTGTATTGAGTTCAGAGTAATTTTCAAAAATCAATCAGTAGACAAAAAAGCAAATGAACTAGCAACAAGAAAGTAAAACTCCATAATATTTTGGTTACAATATTGATTTAAACTTTAATTCAGATGAGTAGAAGGCCTTATAAAAAATTACCACTGAAGCAAAACAAGTCCCTTCACCCCTTTTGGATGTATATCTGATAAACACCAATTTATTTGACCATAAGCTATCCCTATGGGTCATTAAGTCATTTTAAAAGATCAAATTAATTATGCTGTCCAGATATTTTGGAGATGTTTATTCAGTCAGTCACTAAGCACTACTGAAACCTTTATTTTATGAAAATACTTCCTATGAACAAAGTCATACATGTTATGGAGCCTGCCTTTAAAGAACTCACAGTCCAATGATACATATACATATGAATATAGCCCAGTCTTTATCTTATAACCTCACTAGACGTACCTTACAAACACAAATGAAGGAAATAAAATTTGTAAATTCTAAGACCTATTTTTATTACCACTCACTTGATGATGTTCTTTTACTCTGTGACCAGAACTCATGGAAATAAAACCACTCAGATTCTTTCAATAAGCTTGCTTTGGTCTCAAGAACTTGAAGTATTTTTAATAGTGTGAAGTGAGATAAATCTATTTTAGAGATAACACTCTAATTTCTACATCAAAATCCAAACATATTGCATTTACACGCAGTCAGTCCTATTGACAACATGATGCAAATTGCTTTTCTAGGGACAAACGGCCATCCACAAATACATATTTAGTTCCAGCTTCCAGTTGTAGTTAGTGGCAAAGAAGTAAAATATATTGAAATTTTGTTTAAATGAATTTGTTAAATTCTATGCTGTATATGGGGATCCAGAAGAAATCAACAAAATGAAAGTATTAAGCACATTCTTTTACATATATTGTATCATGTATATGTGTATGTTCAGGTAGACAGATAAATGAGTCAGTGGTGATGAGCAGTTAGAATCACATGAGTTTACATCTACATTTTATGCTTGATGGAAAATAGGTATGGAGATTTGATATAAGGTGTGTTTAAAACATCTGCATGGCTTCTGAACTTTCTCTTCTCCCTTCCTTTTCCATCATATCTACCCGTCTCTGAACTAAGAATGCTTGAATTTCTTCAAAACTGAGTGCTGACCATGTTCTTTCTGGGAAATAAAAAGGATGAGGGCAAACAGGAGAGATAGGTCCTCTTAAATACCCCCGGGACCTTCAGTCGAACAGGCAGATGGCCACACATTACGGTTTACAAACAATGACTATAGGGAGATCTAGAGAAATCAACTCTAATTTCCAATACAGAAAACCAGATAATGTTGTCTAAATTTTTAACATTAAATTTAGAAGAAAATAATAATTATATTATAAATTGCAGACCCACTCATCTTTAAATGTATTATTTTTATTGGGGAGTTATTTTAAAAATATATAAAAATGTTTCCAATTTACTCATCTATTTTCTGAATATTCAGCTTCCTGTGGATATCAACAATAATATAATTTTTTGTAGGAGCAATAAATCAAGAATGAGTATCTTTCCTCATACCAAGGAAATAAATTTGAGAGTACATTGCAAGGTATAAACATAAAAGAATTTCCATTATATGAAATACACCATGTAGCTATGATTACTTCACAGTTAAATAACCCTTCCATATTCCTGAATGTCCAAGGAAGAACTTAATTTTCAATAGAAATTCTGCAGAATCTTAAGCTTCTTTCTACTCATGGTACTGGAAAGAGCCTAGTGGGTATGCTGACATCCTTTTGTCTGATTCCCCAAGATCCATTCCTATATTAAGCCGTCAGACAGTAAAGCACATTTACCACATTATCTCAGCCCTTCAAAGAATTGCTTTCACTGAGACACAACTTAATGTAATGTTCTTATCCTCTATTTAGGGTCGATACAGGAACCATTAGTTTGGACAGTGTTTCTTTATGTTTGAAGATTTTATTCCTAGATGTTCCCTGTACAACAACCCAGAAAGCAAATTTATTTTTTCCCAAGAAAAAAGTTTTCCTTGTATCTTTTTATTGTTGAAAAATTAAAAATAATAAACTTCCCTGCATTTCTATTTTTGTTTTCCTTAACATCTGAAAACTCAAAACCAAATCTCTTTGCTGTTATCATCTTGTTTTGGCTTAACCCACGAAATAGAATCTATTTAATCAGAGTGCAAAAAAATTGTCTGCTCTTAACAGATACAATACAATGTACCTCTTAATAATATGAGTTAGCATTTCCTTAAGACACCAGGTATAGTGGCTGAAATGAAGTAATTTTCCTTATTCAGGGATTAAACCATATTATATTTTATTGCAGCTTTCCACTGATGCATTATGGAAATAAAATCTCAAATGCAACTACTTATTCCCACAATGGCATTTCAAATGCTGTGTCATCTGAGAAATGACTTGCACTTAATAGGCAGATATTGAACTAAGTTTAGGCAAAGTGCAAAGTGTACTACAGATTCAGGACAATTCAAATAATAAGACAACTTCAGTAAATTTATGACCAAAGGCATGTTGCATAGTTCCTCGCGAGTTAGGCAATGCAATTCCTAAAAATAGCTGGAATAGGGAATCCTCCACATTAGTCATATGTTAGAAAATTAGAAATATACTCTGACCACTGCAGATAGGTTTTTCCATACTTCTCCTCTCTTTTCCTAACATTGTCTTGTTGTGCTAGTGTGCTGTAACCTGTTCAGGGGGAGCTTCTCCACTTAAAAGAGCTATTTGGAAGATCCCCAGTGTTTCTCACTGAATTTCAACTCAAGACTAAAAATGAGATAAGATAACTCAAATATTTCTTATTCATGATAGCTAATGTGAAATTTAGTTTAGAAGTGAAAGGTGGAAGAGATAAAAAGTACACTAGCTCCAAATTACATTTTATCAGATAATCAAATGAGCATCTAACATATCGTGGCATCTTTGACTTGCTGAATTGAATAAAGATAACAGCTACATGAGCTATCATGATAAAAAAAAAAAAAAACACCTTAAATGGGGATTAAATATGCAATCCCCCATGTTTGTGGGCAAACAATTCATGACACTAACTGACAAAACACCATCAGCTAGACAAGCCCTTGAAGTCAACTCAAAGTTCATATTGCTGCATTAACCTGGCTACATTAAAATGCACTTTTTCTTCACATACTTGAGGCCATATAAATATTACCTATGGAAGTTATAACAAACTAATGAGAACCCTGATAAACATGACAGATCGGACACATTTATATCTGCAGTTTCCAGGACTATCACTAAAACTAAAATAAATCGATAAACATGGATAAGACACAGGGCAAAGCAAATGAGAGTATTAACCAGAGTACATAAGGCATAACTATAAAGACATAGAGAAGATGGAAATATGATTCATGAGTGGTAACTGTTTTAGTAAAGGAAGATAGGTGAAACTTGAAGACCTGCATGGGAAAAAACAAAACTGAAGAAGACAATTTTAGCCAGAGAATGAACAAGAGACTCAGTAACTGGAAGTGCAGATATTTGTGTAGGAGGAAGTAAAAAATGGGTCTCAAAAAGAGAAAATGTGTTGAAAGTCTTTACAAAGAGATTTCAGACCCTCATATCTTTTCCTGCAACATGAAGAAATATGGAATAAGTTTCTAGAACATTTGAAAACTGTTAACCCATGGATATGAGGCTGCACAGATGAGGGCAAGAATATTGCACCATTTTGAAAACAAGAAAATTAACTGAATTTTGCATTCTAAAAGCAAACTCCCAGCCCACTTCTCATGCTCTGCTCCTAGAATCCAAACAGCCAAGTTTATACTCCTTTCCTGGGCAATAGATTATAATGGTCAACCAGAGGTACTCTGATCAGAACCAGAAAACAGATTTACAGATACTGATATTGGGCTTATCCAAATGACATAGCCAAGTTCCTACTTGACAGTATTATAGAAAGATGACATATTTTGCACAAAAAGAGAACTCACAAATATTTTTAAGTTCTAAGTCTTATAAAGAAATAGGCTATCAAAACATCACAAGATTTTGAAAAACATCCTTCAATGAAAAACAGAAAAGGAATACAAAAGGAAAATAAAACATAAAAAAAGAGAACACTAATGATAAAGTTTTAGTATTTTCTTCTGCTCTCTCCAGTAGCTTGGAGACACAGTACCCTTCCAAGTTACTGGAGAGAGCAAAAGGAAACACTAAAACTTTATCATTAATGTTCTCAGAGATAATGGAAGTTATTGCAATGACAGTATAAAAATAGATTGCTATAAATTGAAACAGAGAACAGAAAAGAAAATATAACAGGACAGCAGAAATGAGAAATTCAAGAGAAAGGTTAAAGTTTAAATTGAGAAAATTATCAGAAACACAGAACCAAAAAGAAAATAACTAAAAAATATAAAAAAGAAGGAAAATTATAGGATCAATCTAGATGTTCCAACATTTAAATAATTAGAGCTCTAACATCTAGAAACAAAGCATTAAAAAAGTAGAGGGCAGTTAATTATCAAAGAAATACTACAAAAAAATTTCCCAAAAGAAATTGAGTTTCCACACTGAAAAGATCCCTAGGGTACCCAGCACAATGAATGAAGAAGATCCAAGCCAACATAATTATTATGAAATTTAAAAATAATAAAGATGATGGAAACATTCTAAAAGCATCTAGGGAGATAAATAGATCACAAACAAAGAATCAGGAATCAGAATTATATGTGCCTTCTCAGTAGCAACACTGAAACCCGAAAGACAATGCAGGAATGGTTTCAACATTTTAATCTGAGAGAACATAATTTCTAATATCAAATTTTATACAAAACCAAACTATTAAGTACATGTAGCATGAACTAAAGACATTTTCAGACTGTGGAATTAAATAATAATAAATAAAAATAATATATTATTATAAATAAACAAAAAATGTATTCTCACCATCTCAGGAAGATACAAATGAATATGCTCTACCAACATAGTAAATAAAAAGACAGAAAGCCTTGGTGTGGCACTACCAACTTCTCACCCAATATCCACTCCTCCTCTTCCATAGGAATGCAACTTGAATTTAGTCCAGATAGCAATGCCCAACCAAAAGACTGTATCAGAATCCCCTATTTCATTTCACAAGGCATAGGGGATGACATCTAAGCAAAGACTTTTTTTTTTTTTTTTTTTTTTTTTGAGAGGGAGTCTCACTCTGTCACCCAGGCTGGAGTGCAATTGTGCGATCTTGGCTCACTGCCACCTCCACCTCCCAGGTTCAAGCAATTTTCTGCCTCAGCCTCCCGAGTAGCTGGGATAACAGGCACCCGCCACCATGCCTGGCTAATTTTTTGGTGTGTTTTTAGGAGGGACTAGATTGCACCATCTTGGCCTGGCTGGTCTTGAACTCCTGACGTCGTGATCCAACCTCCTTGGCCTCCCAAAGTGCTGGAATTACAGGCGTGAGCCACCGTACCCGTCCTAAGCTGACACTTTCAAATAGTTCCTTCAAAGAGAGACCAACAGCCGACAAGAACTGTTTGTCTTCTCTCTACCTCTTTCCCACTTCCTGCTTTGAATATACATGTGACATCTAAGATCCAGCAAATATTTCATGACTTTCAGAAGAGAGGCCATGCCTGAGTATTCTGTCACAGAGAAAGGGAAGGAGCCAGAATCCCTGATGACTTTTTGGAGCTATCGTAACTGCATAGAACTAGCTCTCTACTACTTCTATATCAGCCAAAAGTCAATGGATTACTTGTTTAAGTCATTGCTGTTTTGGTGTCTCTTGGGAGCAGTCAAGTGCAATTTATAACCAATACACTTGAATCCAGGAAGTGGGCTTTATCAGATTAGAGAGTCAAAGACAATTCTTAGAATGACAGGGAGAAAATTTGCAAGATGACAATTGTATACCTGAGCACTTTGGAGTAAGTTCCTCCCAGGGAAAATTGAACTCATAGAATGACTGATGCTTCTGACATATTAAGAGGTATTTGTAGCTAACAGTGAATTTATGTATAAAACTAAGCAAACACACACACAATGCAATTAACTCCAATAAAAACAAAACGTGAGCCAGGCATGGTGGCTCATGACTGTAATCCCAGCACTTTGGGAGGCTGAGCGGGTAGATCACTGAGTTCCAGAGTTCAAGGCCTGGCCAACATTGTTAAACACCGTCTCTGCTAAAAACAAAACAAAATTAAAAAATTAGCCGAGTGTCATGGCGCATGCCTGTAATCCCAGCTATTTGGGAGGCTGAGGCAGGAGAATCGCTTGAACCCAGGAAGTGGAGGCTGTGGTGAGCCAAGATCGCACCAAAAAATTTGTATGGAAAATAAAATAATTGTATGATGTGTAGTTCCGTTGTGAACAATACTTAATAACAACAGTAATCATCTATAAAATTAAGGTTGTGTTTCTCAACTGGAGGTAATTTCGTACCCCAAGGGATATTTGGTGATGTCTAGAGACATTTTTTGTTATCACAATGTGGGATGTGCTTCTAGCATGTAGTGGATAGATGCTAGGAAGGCTGATAAGCATTCTACAATGCATACCACAGTCCTTCACGACAACGAACTATCCAGCCCAAAATGTCAGTAGTGATGAGACTGAGAAACTCTGGACAATGGATACACATAAGAAACTCGGAACAATTATTTAAACAAAAATTACAGTTTTGAGAAGATATAGAAGGCATTTGAGAGTGTGTATGTATGTAAAAAACAGAGTTAGGGTAAGAGAGTTAAAGCTCATCTTTCTTAGCACAAAAATCAATTTGTATCTTAAATTTGAAAATCAAAAATCTCATGTACCTCATAAATATATACACCTACTATGTACCCACAAAAATCAAAAATTAAAATATTAAAAAGTGAAAAAAATTTTAAGTGTATTGCTTAAAAATATGAAGGCAAACAACTATTCAAACAGCTAACAGTGATGAATGTGGCTGCTTCCATACAGTGGGAGTACAGAGTGGTCAGGAACAGGGCAGGGTGTGCTACTGCAGTTTGTTGCAAACTACTTAATAATGTTTGAATTTTTAAACCACAATAATTAGGTTTATATTTTTAATAAACTGTGTTAGTGTATTATATTAAGAAAAAAATGGAAAATAAAACAATATGAATTATAAAGGCAGATTTTTTTTTATTCAAAAGCAATGAAAATGTAATTGTCTTGGTTAAAGAAGTTTTTCAGGTGTGAAGAACAACATTCTTTATCTTTTATCACCCTTGGCTTGATCATTTAATGAGGCACTCAGCTCAGTCATCATGTCTATTTTGCTTATTATGTCTCTTCAGTGCCCTCCATAGGGCCAAAAACAGAGCATTGATCAATACATAGTTTGTTAAATTGAGACAAAGTTTTAATATTTTTCCCATATAAGGTACACTCATAAATAAATAAGGACAGGTTGAAGACACCAAACAAGAATAGTGAAATTATATGAATAAATAATTAACAAATAAATGCACATACGCATAAATATATGAAAGCTTATCTAAAATTGCTTATAGTCATGAGCATTAAAACGATAATTTTTATAGGTTTATAGGTTTTCATTGAGATTGGCAATTTGGTAAAGGGTAAAAAAGAATATTGGCAGTGAATTGGGGAATTCACCCGTTTATTTTGAAATCAGTAATTCTGCTTTGCATAATATGTTTTAAGGTAATAAATGGACAAGATTTTAAAGATTTACGTAAAAGTATGCTTACCTCAGGATTTCATGGAAGTAAAAACATCTTAGATATCTAAGAATGTGAAATAAATTTAGGTTAATATAGTATGGTGTATGAATATACCGATACAATCTTAGATTTGTATTGACATGCATAGATGTTCACAGTATATGAAAAGAGGAATAAAATATACAATCAAAAGTGTTTGTGTATGTATGTGTATAAATATATATAATCACATGTCTAGAAACATATATACAGAAGCATACTACAGTAGTTTTTCTCTGGGTAGGGAATTTTAGGCGATTATCATTCTCTCCATACTTCATTAGCTTTTTGGTTATTCATAATAAAAATCTGGCCAGGGACCATGACCCATGCCTGTAATCCCACCACCTTGGATTGCTTGAATAAAGAAGTTAGAGACCAGCCTGCACAACATGGTGAGACCCTGTCTACAAAATGTAAAAAAAAAAATTTAGCTGGTGATATGGTTTTGGTGTATCCCCACCCAAATCTCACCTTGAATCATAACTTTCAGAATTCCCACATGTCCCAGGAGGAACTCAGTGGGAGGTGATTGAACTACTGGGGCGGGTATTTCCTGTGCTGTTCTTGTGATAGTGAGTGAGTCTCACATGATCTGATAGTTTTAAAAAGGGGAGTTTCCCTGCACAAGTTCTCTCTCTCTCTTTGCCTGCTTCCATCCATAAGACGAGACTTGCTCCTCCTTGCCTTCTGCCTTGATTGTGAGGCTTCCCTGGCCACGTGGAACTGTAAGTCCAATTAAACTTCTTTCTTCTTTAAATTGCACATTCTCAGGTATGTCTTTATCAGCAGCATGAAAACGAACTAATACAGCTGGATTAGCTGGGTGTGGTGGTGCATGCCTGCAGTCCCTGCTACTGGGGAGGCTGAGGTGGGAGGATCACTTGAGCCTGGAAGGCTGAGGTGACAGTGAGCTATAATCATACTTCTGCACTCAGCCTGAGGGACAGAAAGAGACTCTGTCTCAAAAAACAAACAAAGATATGTTTGTGTAAAATTTTCCAGAATACTATTGTTTTGAAAAATATAAAAATCTGTATTTCATAGAAGGCCCACCACCAAATTTTCAAATGGAGAGACTCTTACTGGTTCTCAACCAAAATACAGCACAGAGGCAACTGATACACCCTGAGCCCAAAGAGAACATCCTCCAGCTCGCCTGCCCACTTCCCCAGGTGTCCTTCTGATTTCCTCTCTGCCTGTACATGGCCTGTGGAATTGCTTTGCAGAATTCAACCCATTGAAATTTTGCAACACTATAACTCAGACATTTAGTAACACAAATTTTTTTAAAGTGGTGGTCTGTTACCAAGATAATAAACAATACTGAGTGAACCATATTTTCTTTCACTAAAGGTACTTTTGCTAGGACAACACAGATCTAAGTAATTCACACACACACACACGTACACACAAAATGTGTTCTCTATTTTACAAATTTTTAAGAAAATAGGTAGTGAACAAATATTCAAGAATGTATTTACATTAGACCTGCCCCCAAAATTGGTGTCTTAATAAAATTATCTGAACTTTGTATTAGAAGTTTGCTGTGTAATTAGAGAATTCCTTTGCCTAAGGAAAAAAATACAATCAAGAATGTATTCACATTAGACCCACCTCTAAAATTTGTGGGACCCAGAGCAAGAATATAAACTGAAGCCTACATATCATGGGTCTAAATATTTAAAAGTTATAAATCAAGCTAACACATTGTTAAATAAAAAATGATTTTTCTTCTAGTTTGACAAATTCACTTTCACAATTTTTAAATGAAAATATATGTATAAACTATGTTCTTTGTGTGACCGAAAAGACAAAATATCAAAGATGATTTAACCAAAAACACAAATTGTTTTTATAGGCTACTAGAACGTTATTTTTTCCACTAACAAGATCTAAGAATTAAAATATAAAATGTAACTGTATTCAAACAATTCAAGCATTGAACATATTTTCATCAAACACATAAATAAAATATCAATAACTTAAAAATCCATATAATAATTCAGTGTGTTTAATGTTACAAATTGTTTCTCAGCTACCAGGTAAGTGCCACAAATTTTATTTTAATAATGAGTGTATCCAGAATTAGATCTCTCTCTTAGATATTTGTGGTGGGGTGGGGGGGTGTTGGATCAATACAAAGCATGTTTTACATTACTTTTTAGTATGTATTTTTTAAAGTTTCTGTTTTCCCCTCTATCATTGCCTAACACTATTTAACAGAGTACATACAAAGGAAATTGATATTTTTATATTCATAATAACTTAAATGAGAAAGAACTTTAGGAAGAATTCCCTTTTTTTCCTTAAGCAAAGGAATTATCTAATTACACAACTGAATTTATAATACTATTTTCAGATAATTTGATTAAGATGCCAAATAAATTATTGTACTATAAAGCATTTTTGTTTTAAACCTTCAGTTTTTAGGAAGGAGCCAAGATGGCTGAATAGGAACAGCTCAGGTCTACAACTCCCAGAGTGAGCGATGCAGAAGACAGGTGATTTCTGCATTTCCATCTGAGGTACCGGGTTCATCTCACTAAGGAGTGCCAGACAGTGGGCGCAGGACAGTGGGTGCAGCACACCGTGCACGAGCCGAAGCAGGGTGAGGCATTGCCTTACTCAGAAAGCGCAAGGGGTCAGGGAGTTCCCTTTACTAGTCAAAGAAAGGGGTGACAGACGGCACCTGGAAAATCAGGTCACTCCCACCCGAATGCTGTGATTTTCACACGTGCTTAAAAAACGCTGCACCAGGAGATTATATCCCGCACCTGGCTCGGAGGATCCTATGCCCATGGAGTCTCACTGATTACTAGCACAGCAGTCTGAGATCAAACCGCAAGGTGGCAGCGAGGCTGGGGGAGGGGCGCCTGCCATTGCCCAGGCTTGCTTAGGTAAACAAAGCAGCCAGGAAGCTCGAACTGGGTGGAGCCCACCATAGATCAAGGAGCTCTGTAGGCTCCACCTCTGGGGGCAGGGCACAGACAAACAAAAAGACATCAGTAACCTCTGCAGACTTAAATGTCCCTGTCTGACAGCTTTGAAGAGAGCAGTGGTTCTCCCAGCACACAGCTGGAGATCTGAGAACAGGCAGACTACCTCCTCAAGTGGGTCCCTGACCCATGACCCCCTGGCAGCCTAACTGGGAGGCACCCCCCAGTAGGGGCAGACTGACGCCTCGCACGGCCGGGTACTCCTCTGAGACAAAACTTCCAGAGGAATGATCAGACAACAGCATTCACAGTTCATGAAAATCTGCTGTTCTGCAGACACCGCTGCTGATACCCAAGCAAACAGGGTCTGGAGTGGACATCTAACAAACTCCAACAGCCCTGCAGCTGAGGGTCCTGTCTGTTAGAAGGAAAACTAACAAACAGAAAGGACATCCACACCAAAAACCCATCTGTACATCACCATCATCAAAGACCAAAAGTAGATAAAACCACAAAGATGAGGAAAAAACAGAACAGAGAAACTGGAAACTCTAAAAAGCAGAGTGCCTCTCCTCCTCCAAAGGAACGCAGTTGCTGACCAGCAACGGAAAAAAGCTGGACGGAGAATGACTTTGACGAGTTGAGAGAAGAAGGCTTCAGACGATCAAATTACTCCAAGCTACAGGAGGAAATTCAAACCAAAGGCAAAGAAGTTGAAAACTTTGAAAAAACTTTAGACGAATGTATAACTAGAATAAGCAATACAGAGAAGTGCTTAAAGGAGCTGATGGAGCTGAAAGTCAAGGCTTGAGAACTACGTGAAGAATGCAGAAGCCTCAGGAGCCGATGCGATCAACTGGAAGAAAGGGTATCAGTGATGGAAGATGAAATGAATGAAATGAAGTGAGAAGGGAAGTTTAGAGAAAAAAGAATAAAAAGAAATGAACAAAGCCTCCAAGAAATATGGGACTATGTGAAAAGACCAAATCTACATTTGACTGGTGTACATGAAAGTGACGGGGAGAATGGAACCAAGTTGGAAAACACTCTGCAGGATATTATCCAGGAGAACTTCCCCAATCTAGCAAGGCAGGCCAGCATTCAGATTCAGGAAATACAGAGAACACCACAAAGATACTCCTCAAGAAGAGCAACTCCAAGACACATAATTGTCTGATTCACCAAAGTTGAAATGAAGGAAAAAATGTTAAGGGCAGTCAGAGAGAAAGGTCGGGTTACCCACAAACGGAAGCCCACCAGACTAACAGCGGATCTCTTGGCAGAAACTCTGCAAGCCATAAAAGAGTGGGGGCCAATATTCAACATTCTTAAAGAAAAGAATTTTCAACCCAGAATTTCATATCCTGCCAAACTAAGCTTCATAAGTGAAGGAGAAATAAAATACTTTACAGACAAGCAAATGCTGAGAGATTTTGTCACCACCAGGCCTGTCCTAAAAGAGCTCCTGAAGGAAGCACTAAACATGGAAAGGAACAACTGGTACCAGCCGCTGCAAAATCATGCCAAAATGTAAAGACCATCGAGACTAGGAAGAAACTGCATCAACTAACGAGCAAAATAACCAGCTAACACCATAATGACAGGATCAAATTCACACATAATAATATTAACTTTAAATGTAAATGGACTAAATGCTCCAATTAAAAGACACAGACTGGCAAATTGGATAAAGAGTCAAGACCCATCAGTGTGCTGTATTCAGGAAACCCATCTCACGTGCAGAGACACACATAGGCTCAAAATAAAAGGATGGAGGAAGATCTAACAAGCAAATGGAAAACAAAAAAAGGCAGGGTTTGCAATCCTAGTCTCTGATAAAACAGACTTGAAACCAACAAAGATCAAAAGAGACAAAGAAGGCCATTACATAATGGTAAAGGGATCAATTCAATAAGAAGAGCTAACTATCCTAAATATATATGCATCCAATACAGGAGCACCCAGACTCATAAAGCAAGTCCTGAGTGATCTAGAAAGAGACTTAGACTCCCACACAATAATAATGGGAGACTTTAACACCCCACTGTCAACATTAGACAGATCAACGAGACAGAAAGTTAAAAAGGATACCCAGGAATTGAACTCAGCTCTGCACCAAGCAGACCTAATAGAGATCTACAGAACTCTCTACCCCAAATCAACAGAATATACATTTTTTTCAGCACCACACAACACCTACTCCAAAATTGACCACATAGTTGGAAGTAAAGCTCTCCTCAGCAAATGGAAAAGAACAGAAATTATAACAAACTATCTCTCAGACCACAGTGCAATCAAACTAGAACTCAGGATTAAGAAACTCACTCAAAACCACTCAACTACTTGGAAACTGAACAACTTGCTCCTGAATGACTACTGGGTACATAATGAAATGAAGGCAGAAATAAAGATGTTCTTTGAAACCAACGAGAACAAAGACACAACATACCAGAATCTCTGGGACACATTCAAAGCAGTGTGTAGAGGGAAATTTATAGCACTAAATGCCCACAAGAGAAAGCAGGAAAGATCCAAAATTGGCACCCTAACGTCACAATTAAAAGAACTAGAAAAG
Source organism: Homo sapiens (assembly GCF_000001405.40). Classification (NCBI taxonomy): domain Eukaryota; kingdom Metazoa; phylum Chordata; class Mammalia; order Primates; family Hominidae; genus Homo; species Homo sapiens. Next base: position 56,554,663 of record NC_000002.12, on the reverse strand, counting down.
CAAGAGCAAACACATTCAAAAGCTAGCAGAAGGCAAGAAATAACTAAAATCAGAGCAGAACTGAAGGAAATAGAGACACAAAAAAACCTTCAAAAAATTAATGAATCCAGGAGCTGGTTTTTTGAAAGGATCAACAAAATTGATAGGCTGCTAGCAAGACTAATAAAGAAAAAAAGAGAGAAGAATCAAATAGATGCAATAAAAAATGATAAAGGGGATATCACCACCGATCCCACAGAAATACAAACTACCATCAGAGAATACTACAAACACCTCTACGCAAATAAACTAGAAAATCTAGAAGAAATGGATAAATTCCTCGATACATACACTCTCCCAAGACTAAACCAAGAAGAAGCTGAATCTCTGAATAGACAAATACCAGGATCTGAAATTGTGGCAATAATCAATAGCTTACCAACAAAAAAGAGTCCAGGAACAGATGGATTCACAGCCGAATTCTACCAGAGGTACAAAGAGGAATTGGTACCATTCCTTCTGAAACTATTCCAATCAATAGAAAAAGAGGGAATCCTCCGTAACTCATTTTATGAGGCCAGCATCATCCTGATACCAAAGCCGGGCAGAGACACAACAAAAAAAGAGGATTTTAGACCAATATCCGTGACGAACATTGATGCAAAAATCCTCAATAAAATACTGGCAAACCAATCC